>NC_000001.11:211063374-211214890 GCF_000001405.40 Homo sapiens | reverse complement strand
TTCCAAGTTTTTGTGCATATGCAAATGTCTTTATTTCACCTTCACTTTTGAAGTATATATATATATATATATACATATATAAAACTGAATATAAATTGTTTTCTTTTTCTTTTTCTTTTTTTTTTTTTTGAGACATGGTTTTGCTCTGTGGCCCAGTCTGGAGTGCAGTGGTGCGATCTCAGTGCACTGCAACCTCCACCTCCCAGGTTCAAGCAACTCTCCTGCCTCAGCCCCCTGAGTAGCTGGGATTACAGGTACCCACCATCATGCCCAGATAATTTTTGTATTTTTAGTAGAGACAGGGTTTCACCATGTTGGCCAGACTGGTCTCAAACTCCTGACCTCAAGTGATCCACCCACCTCAGCCTCCCAAAGTTCTGGGATTACAGGCGTGAGTCACCGTGCCCGGCCTGGATATAGATTTCCAGGTTGGTTGTCACTCTCTTTCAGCCCTTTGAAGATTTTATTCCATTGTTTAGTTGCTTTTATATTTCTATGAAAGGGTAAGCTATCAGTTTTATTTTTTATTTATTTTTATTTTTTCTTGAGACAGAGTCTCACTTTATCGCTCAGGGTGGAGTGCAGTGGTGCGATCTTGGCTCACCGCAACCTCCACCTTGTGGGTTCTAGTGATTCTCCTGCCTCAGCCTCCCAAGTAGCTGGGACTACAGGTGTGCGCCACCATGCTTGGCTAATTTTTGTATTTTTAGTAGAGATGGGGTTTCACCATGTTGGCCAGGCTGGTCTCGAACTCTTGACTTCAGGTGATCCACTCCACCTCGGCCTCCCAAAGTGCTGGGACTATAGGCACGAGCCACCGTGCCCAGCTAGCTATCAGTTTTATTGTTACTCCTTTAAAATTATGCATCTCTCCTATTTCAGTCACTTCTAAGATTTTTTTCTTTCTCCTTAATTCTAAACCATTTTACTATGAAATGTCCAGATTTGATTTTGTTTGTATTTATTCTGGTTGAAGTTTTTAGAGATCCTTGAATCTGTAGTTCAAGGTCTTTCATCAATTCTGGAAAATTCTCAGAAACTATCTCTTCAAATATTATTTGGACCATTCTATTTCTTCTCATTTAGACATATGTTGGCCTCCCTTTTTTTTTTTAAACCATGTCTTATAAGTTTGTTTTACAATATATATATTTTTTTGATCCTTGTATTTTTTGGAGACAGGGTCTCACTCTGTTGCCCAGGCTGGAGTGCAGTAGTGTGAACATGGTTTACTACAGCCTTGACCTCCTGGGCTCAAGCAATCTTCCTCCCTCAGCCTCTTGTGCAGCTTGGACCACAGATGTGCACCACCACACCTGGCTAATTTTACAATTTGTTGTAGAGAAGGAGTCTCACTTTGTTGCTCAGGCTGGTCTCAAACTTCTGGGCTCAAGCAATCCTCCTCCCTTGGCCTCACAAACTGTTGGGTGGCATGAGCCACTGCACCGGCCTTGCCAGCAGTTAACTAGAGACAGATGTCATTCATTTTGATCAGGCTTTGAGATGGTTAGAGGCTGAGTTTAAGGCTCTATGAGGCATGCTATATTACGGTTATACCCTTGAACCTAGAAAATAGTCCTTCAGGGATCTCTACTTAAAACCTGGCATGTTGTCCAGGATTCTTTCTCCATTTCAGGCTCTGAACTCCAGTTTTTGTCTGTTTAGTTCTCTGAGATTTCCCAAATCACTGCTTATCCCTTAAACACCTTAACAATTGTGTTTTGTTTGTTTGTTTGTTTGTTTTTGAGATGGAGTCTTGCTCTGTTGCCAGGCTGGAGTGCAGTGGCCCAATCTCGCTCACTGCAACCACCGCCTCCCGGGTTCAAGTGATTCCCCTGCCTCAGCCTCCTGAGTAGCTGGGATTACAGGCGTGCACCACCACACTCAGCTAATTTTTTGTATTTTAGTAGAGACGGGGTTTCACCATGTTGGCCATGATGGTCTTGATCTCCTGACCTTGTGATCCACCTGCCTTGGCCTCCCAAAGTGCTGGGATTACAGGCATGAGCCGCTGTGCCCAGCCTGTTTGTTTATTTTTATGTAACTGCTCCTACTCCTTTCCCTGTTCTTCAGTGACTTAGGATTCAGAAGATTCCTTGAGGTAAAATCCTTGCAAAATTTCACACTCATTTTTCTGTGATTTTCTTCTCTCTGGGACCCTGGCTGTTCATGTCTTGGCTGCTCCACTTGTCTTGAACCCCAATTTTTGTCTTCCTATCCCCATAAACTTACTGAAAACTCTTGCCCACTACTTTCTGCTATACCTCTATCTCCTAGCCAGGAAATGGTAAATGCCCCAAGGGAAAACATTGGTGGAGAATGTCTGATTTATTCCGATTTGTTTCCTTTTCCTCTAGGATCTTGACTTCCCTGCCCTGGCTACCTTGGTAGCTTCTCAGTATCTTCAAATAACTACCTTTTTCATATTTTTATCTAGCTTTATACCTGTTCTTGAAGAGAGTGTTCATTTGATAAGAGTTTCTCTTCAAAAGCTTAATTTTTTTCTTTTTTTTTTGAGACGGAGTCTCGCTCTGTCGCCCAGGCTGGAGTGCAGTGGCACGATCTCGGCTTACTGCAAGCTCTGCTCCCTGGGTTCACACCATTCTCCTGCCTCAGCCTCCCGAGTAGCTGGGACTACAGGCGCCTGCCACCACGTCTGGCTAATTTTTTGTATTTTTAGTAGAAATGGGGTTTCACCGTGTTAGCCAGGATGACCTCGATCTCCTGACCTCATGATCTGCCCGCCTCAGCCTCCCAAAGTGCTGGGATTACAGGCGTGAGCCACTGCGCCAGGCCAAAAAGCTTAACTTTAGACTTAAAAAGTGAAAGTCTAAAGCCTATATAGCCTTTTAATATTAAAAGACCCATTCCATTTCCAATTGCTACTTACTAGGCTCTCTTAAATTGTTCACATGTTCTAGTTACACCAAATAGTTGATGGCTTTTGTAGTTTTTTTTTTTTGAGATGGAATTTTGCTTTTGTTGTCCAGGCTGGAGTGCAATGGCGTGATCTCCGCTCACTGCAGCCTCTGCCTCCCGGGTTCAAGCAATTCTCCTGGCAGCCTCCCGAGTAGCTGGGATTACAAGCGCATGCCACCATGCCCAGCTAATTTGTTATATTTTTAGTAGAGATGGGGTTTCATCATATTGGTCAGGCTGATCTCGAACTCCTGACCTCAGGTGATCCACCCGCCTTGGCCTCCCAAAGTGCTGGGATGACAGGAGTGAGCCACTGGGCCCAGCTGGCTTTTGTAATTCTTAAAGCATTTCTTTTGCCCTGTTCACTTGCAGGATAATCATACAACTGATCATTGTGTATCTATCTCTTCCACTACATCCATCCCAACAGAAGGGTGTCTGATTAGCAACAAAACAAAAACTGCCAAATGGATTAGTTGAAAGGGAGAAATATAGTTCTTTTTCTTTTTCTTTTCTTTTTTTTTTTTTTGAGATCGAGCCTTGCTCTGTCACCCAGGTTGGAGTGCAGTGGCTGCAGTGGCGCGATCTCCCCTCACTGCAACCTCGGCCTCCCAAGTTAGCTGGGACTACAGGCACACGCCACTACGCCCGGGTAATTTCTTTTGTATTTTAGTAGAGACGGGGCTTCACTATGTTGCCCAGGCTGGCCTCTAACTCCTGAGCTCAGGCAATCTGCCCACCTCGGCCTCCCAAAGTCCTAAGATTACAGGCATGAGCCACTGCGCCTGGCCCAGTTCTTAAGTAAACAATGTTGAACCAAACCTTTGCCTTTTACCCATTGTGAATCAGGGTAGTGGCCTCTATCAGGCCATTTTCCTTCTTAAGGAAGTATTAGGTTGGTGCAAAAGTAATTGTGGTTTTTGTCATTACTTTTAAATTACTTTTAATGGCAAAAACCACAGTTACTTTTCACCAACCCAATAAGTCTCTCTGGTCCTGTCTTCTGTAGCATATCTCTCAGATTGTGCTTATCATAACAGTACTTTTCAAAATGCAATTGATACACGCCTGCATTTGCCACTAGAATATATTGGTCATAATTTTTAACACTTTTTGAGGCATCACTGTGTTTACACATGACTCATTGATTGAATGTTATTTTTTTCCAGGCACTGAGAATATGGAGGTAAACAGATACATGTTCTTCTAGTCTGTGATAAAAATGGCATACCTCAGGGAGATGAGGCAGGTAGAACTTAACCCCTGTTCTTCCTGAGTACTGCCAGGCTGCTGTGCTATCTTTTTTTTTTTTTTTTTTTTTTAAGACAGAGTCTCTGTCACCCAGGCAGGAGTGCAGTGGCATGATCTCAGCCCACTGCAACCTCCACCTCTTAGGTTCAAGTAATTCTCCTGTTTCAGCCTCCCAAGTAGTTGGGATTACAGGTGCATGCCACCACGCCTGGCTAATTTTTGTATTTTTTTAGTAGAGACAGGGTTTTGCCATGTTGGCCGGGCTGGTCTCGAACTCCCGACCTCAGATGATCCGCCCGCCTCGGCCTCCCAAAGTGCTAGGATTACAGGCTTGAGCCATCACTGCTGTGTTATCTTGATTCACAGTTGTGCTGTCTTCTCCCTCACTGATGCCTCTGAAATTGTGTGGTGTGTAAGGCTGGGAGCTTGCACATTACATACTGTTATTCTGGTTTTGGTCATAACAATGTCTTCTTTCTTGTTGGCATCTCTCTTCTCCATGGTAACTTCTTGAAGCTGCCAGAATGATACAATTTTTTTTTCTCTTCCTCTCTGTTGAGCCACTCCTGCATGGTTGCCAAGGGAAACCAGATAAGTATTAAGTATAATATTAATTTGAATATTTTATGTCTACATAAAGTGCATGACTTGTATGACCTCTATTTTAAACTAGCTTCAGGTTTTTCCTGTATTTACCTTACTTGGGCTTTTTTGTTTTTGTTTTTGTTTTTTTGAGTTTTCTTTTTGGTTCTCTAAGATAACTGAGTGGACCCAGGTGATGAGGCTTAGGAATTCAGCTGACTGGCCCTGTACCTGGCTCTCATGGTAACTTGTATTTAACACTTGTCATATGGTTATGAAATAATTATTTGAGTAATTTTTAAATGTTTGTTTATCAGACTGGGCTGCTTTTTAAGGTCAGGGACTATGTCTGTATTGTTCTTTCCTGTCTTTCCACTGTGCTATAGCACAGTACCTGGTGCACAGGTATTAATTATTATTTTTTTTTGGTCAAATGAGAAACAAGAGGAAAAAAGATAAGACGCAAAGACCACAAAGAACATGATCCAACATACCCCTGTTTAGAAGTTACCTACTGATCTAGATGCCCAGGACCTCATTTGCCTCTAACCTCCTATTCTACTGTTTAAGGCCACCCTCCAACCATGAGTACAAGTTAGGGTATGAATTGGTACACAGTTGTTGTCATTTTATTTCCTCTTCCAAGTAATCTCACAATAAAAGAAGACTTCAAGATTTCTGATACCAGAAAAATAGTAGATATAAAAATCTTTCAGCTAAAAATACCTGGAAATACTAGATAAAAGTTAACAAGCATTATTTTAAATACATTTCTGAGATGAATCTTCCTTTTTAAAATTTATTCTGAGCTGGGCAGGGTGGCTCAAGCTGGGCATGGTGGCTCACGCCTCTAATCTCAGCACTTTGGGAGGCTGAGGCAGGCAGATCACCTGAGGTCAGGAGTTCGAGACCAGCCTGGTCAACATGGCGAAACCCTGTCTCCACTAAAAATACAAAAATTAGCTGGACGTGGTGGCATGCACCTGCAGTCTCAGCTACTCGGGAGGCTGGGGAAGGAGAATTGCTTGAACCTGGGAGGGCAGAGGTTGCAGTGAGCCGAGATTGCACCACTGCACTTCAGCCTGGGCAACAGAACGAGACTCTGTCTCAAAAAAAAAAAAAAAAAAACTATTCTTATAATTCCTCCCCCGACCCTTTTTTCAGTGCATAATCCAGTAACATTTAATATAATAATTAACATGATTTGATTTAGGTCTGCTTTTTTTTTGTTTATTTTCTGTTAGTATAGGACCTACTTCATTTGTATAGGTCCATTTAACACTCTACTTGCCATTTTGTGCTATAGTTATCATATGTAACACATCTACATACATTATAAACTTCAAAAAATAATGCTATAAATGCTATAACTTAAACATCTATATGTATTCCAAATAAATTAAGAGGAAAAATTGTAATGTGTTCAGATATTTACCATTCCTGATGATTTAAAATCATTCCTAGGCCGGGCACAGTGGTTTATGCCTATAATTTCAGCACTTTGGGAGGTCAAGGTGGGCGGGTCACTTGAGCCCAGGAGTTTGAGACCACCCTGGGCAACATGGCGAAATCTTGTCTCTACTAAAAATATGAATAAATTTGCCCAGGTGTGGTGGCATGCTCCTGTGGTCCCAGCTACTTGGAGGCTGAGGTGGGAGGATCGCTTGAGCCTGGGAGGCAGAGGTTGCAGTGAGCCACGATCATGCCACTATACTCCAGCCTGAGTGACACAGCGAGACCCTGTCGCTAAATAAATTAATAAATAAATTCATTCCTAAAGATGCGAGTTTTCCTTTGGTGTCATTTCTGTCAATCTGCTGAACTCCCTCTAGCATTTCTTTTTTTTGGGGGGGGTGCTGACTGAATTCAACAATTATTTATTGAGTGTCTATTATGTGCTAGATACTGAGACACATCAGAGAACAAAACCAAAAGCCCTGCCCTCGTCGGGCTTACAGTCTAGCACTTACTGCCAGTTAACCTGGAGGCTACCTGGAACCCCGGGCAAGTCACCGCACCTCTGTGCCTCGGTCCTCAGCTGCCTAATGGGAGAATAAGCAGACCTGGCTCAGACATGAATCATGTGCTTGGTGTACTGCAGATGCCAAACTGCATCCCCATAACCCACCACCCAGACAGTAGATAGGGCTGGAAGTTGATTTTTAATGATCAAGTACAATGGAGGGAGGGCAGAGGGGCTAAGCCTAGCTGTCTGGGGTGCTGTGGTGGTGGTGGGCTGGCTACACAAACTGTTGCTGCTGCTGCTGCTTCTTGGTGGCTGCCTTGCTGGCGAGGTCCTTGGCCTTCTCTGTAGCTGCCAGTGCTGTCTCCTTTGCCTTCTCCTTGGCTTCCTTGGCTGTCTCAACAAGTGTTTTGGAAGGGGCCTCGCCTTGCAGCTTTGCCAAGATATATTCAAAACCCTTCATAGTCTTGGTCACATTGCTTTTGAACCAGGCAAGACCAAATTCCTGGACAGCTCTGGAGACACCAAATAAGCTAGAGGAGACCCAGGCTTCCCGGCGGATTTCGGTCCGGCCACTGTTGTCAGAGTTCACACAGTAAACACATCGTTCCTCCACCACCATCAGCCGGGCATGGTTGATGTTCCAGGTGAAGGTGGTCATGGTCTGATTCTGTGGGTCCACAATAGAGTCCTCCAGGATGTACACCGAGTGATCAACATTGGCAGGAAACAGTCGCTCGGCCCAGCAGGGCGTCCTGTTGGTCTTGGTCAGGAGTCGCCCGGACAGCAGTTTCTGGTCAGGGGTTACCTCCCGGTGTACTACGTCTTCCGTCAAGACATGTTTGCTATAGGGATTCGGGTACCGCTGCCAGAAGGCGGCGAACACTTGGTCCCAGGAGCTCCGTTGCACGCTCTGGCCCAGGAAATACTTCACCATCGTCCCGGCCGGAGCGGGCTCAGCACCCGCGCAGCATCGGGGGTGCGGAGCCTGGGAGGCACGCGGGGGCCGCGCTGGGCCGGGGCTCGGCGCACACCCGCCGCCAGGCTTGTAGCTCAGTCACCACCGCACCGCGCCCAAGCAGCTGCCGCCACCGCCGCCATGAGTTGTCCGGTCCAGCATTTCTTGTAATGCACATCTGGTGGTAATGAAGTCTCTTAGTTTTCCTTTATTTAAACACTTATTTAGTTTTTTTGTTGTTTGTTTTCATTTTCATAGGATATTTTGGCTGGATATAGAATGCTGAAATGACAGTTTAATTCTTCAAGCACTTGAAAAATATAATTCACTGCCTCCTGGCCCCCACAGCTTCTGATAAAAAGTCCAATGCCACTGAATAATGTTCCCCCTGGAATGTAATATATTGGTTTTTTTCCTGGCTACTTTCACAGTTTCCTGTTAATTTTTGGTTTTCAGCAGTGTATTGGTTATTTATTGCTGTGTAACAAATTGTTCCAAAACTTAGCTGGTAAAACAATAGACACTTATTATCTCATAATTTCTGTGGATTGGGAATCTGGGTGTAGCTAAGGGTTCTTGGTCCTCTGCTTTGGCTTCGAGTCTCCTCACAAGGCTATGGTCTTCTCAGGCTTGACTGTGAAGAATTTTCACAGAGTTCATTCACGTGGTGGTTGCCAGCATTCCGTTCCTTGTGGCTGTTGGCCAGAGACATGTCAGTTTTTCATGAGCTATTGGCCAGAGACTTCCCTTAGTTCCTTGACACATGGTCCCCTCCATACAGCATCTCACAACATGGCAGGTTGCTTCATGTACACACACACACACACACACACACACACACACACACACACACACACACAGACACAGAGAGAGAGCGCCCTACCAAAATGGAAGTCACAGTTTTTGTAACCTAATCATGGAAGTGACATCCCATTAGTTTTGTTGTATTCTATTCATTAAAAGCAAGTCACTAGGTTCAGCTCACACTTGAGGGAAGGGGATTATACAAAGGCATGAGCACCAGGAGGTTGAGGTCAGTGGGGGCCATGTCAAAACTGTCTATCACAAGCAGTCTGTCTAGGATATGTCTAGATGTGGTTTTCCTTGTATTTATCCTGATTAGGGTTTCTTGAATCTATCAATTTGTCTTTCACCAAATTTGGGGAGTTTTGTTGCTATCATTTCCTCATGCATTTCTTTTCTACTGCATTTTCTCTTTTCTTTCTTTATGGGGCTCCAGTTGCCCCTATATCAACCCCCTTGATATTGTCCTTCAGCTTCCTCAGGCTCTGTTAGTTTTTTAAAAAAATGTTTCATTTGTTTTTCAGATTGGATAATTTTTATTGTTCTATTAACTGACTTTCCCTCTTATGTTTGTTCTGCTATAAAGTTCATCCAGTGACTTTTTAATTTTGGATGTTACATTTTTTCAGTTCTACACTTTCCGTTTAAAATATACAGCAATGTTGTAACCATTATTACTCATTTCTTCAGATTTTATAGTATAACGGTAGTCTTAAAAAATGGAAGTGATTAGGCCTCTCAATACCTCCGAAAAGACTTATACTTAGCAGGTATTCACAAATGTTTGTTGACTTCAATTTAATTGTAATAAAGTGAAAGAAACATCAAGCCATAGAAAGCCAAGGAAGGAAGCAAGGAACATCAGGTATCTTTACTGACTTGTTTTGAGAAATCAGGCACATTGATATATTTGATTAGTGGAATACCAAAAAAAAATTACGTATTTTCATTCACAGACAAGGAAGATTTCTTTTTTTCTTTTCTTTTCTTTCTTTCTTTTTTTTTTTTTTAGACAGAGTATCTCTCTGTTGCCCAGGCTATAGTGCAGTGGCATGATCTCGGCTCACTGCAACCTCTGCCTCCCAGGTTCAAGTGATTCTCCTGCCTCAGCCTCCTGAGTAGCTGGGATTACAGATGCCCACCACCACGCCCAGCTAATTTTTATATTTTTAGTAGAGATGGGGTTTTGCCATGTTGGCCAGGCTGGTCTTGAACTCCTGGCCTCAAGTGATCCATATGACTTGGTCTCCCAAAGTGCTGGGATTACAGGCATGAGCCACCACGCTGGCCCAGAAGATTTTATTTTATTTTATTTATTTATTTAGAGACAGAGTCTCACTTTGTTGCCCAGGCAGGAGTGCAGTGGCACAATCTGGGCTCACTGCAACCTCCACCTCCCCGGTTCAAGTGATTCTCCTGCCTCAGCCTCCCAAGTAGCTGGGATTACAGATGTGCACTGCCACGCCTGGCTATTTTTTGTGTTTTTAGTAGAGACAGGGTTTCACTATGTTCACCAGGCTGGTCTCAAACTCCTGACCTTGGGTGATCCACCTGCCTTGGCCTCTAAAAGTGCTGGGATTATAGGCGTGAGCCACCTCACCTAGCCACAGACAAGGAAGGTTTCAAATCTGTGTGGCAGACAGACTGTAAGGTGGCCCTTATGATTTCTGCCTTCTAGTGTTCATGCCTTTGTGTAATCCCCTTCCCATGAACATAGACAGGACTTGTGACTTACTTTTAACCAATAGAATATGACAAAGTTGACGCGGTGTCGCTTCTGTGATTATGTTATGTAAGTCTCTGTCTTGCTAACAGACTCACTTTACAGACTCTCCTTGTTGGCTTGATGAAGTCATTGGCAATATTGGGGAAACCTATATGATAAGGTCATGCAGATGACCTCCAGCCTCCAGCCAGCAAGAAGCTGGTCCCTCAGCCTTCCAACTGCAAAGAAATGAATTCTGCCAACCATTTGAATGAGTTTGGAAGTAGATTTTCCCCTAGTTGAGCATCCAGATGAGCACACAGCTCAACTAACACCTCGACTGCAGCCTTGAGGAGAACCTAGCTAAGCCCTTCCTGGACTCCAGACTTGCAGAAACTGTGAAATAATAAATGTGTGTTGTTTAAGCCCTAAGTTTGTGTAATTTTTATGCAGCGATAGAAAACTAATATAATCTGCATAGTTACAGACTTTTGCTACCTCTTATTTTGTTGAGAGCAATTTTTCGAACTGATTTTTATGCTTGATATACAACTTGAACTTTAGGAAATGAAATATTCTGAGATCAGCAGTTTTATAGTATAATTGTAGGGACAACAGGACTCTGGGGAAACCCACAAGAAAAGCATTTTTTAACAAGATCTCATGCCAGCAGTTTCACTCTTGGGAATCTGTTCATAGAAATAAAAGCCCATTCAGTAAGTGAGGATAAATATGTAAGTGTTTTTTAAATTGCATTGTAGTGGCAAAATAACTGGAAACAAATTTTTCATAGCTATTGCCAAATTGCTATCCAAAAAGGCTGTTAAAATGTCCATTTCCACCAGCAATGTGTAAGTACCCTTTTCCTTATCTCCCTGTAATGGAAAACTCCTATTCATCTATATTAGTTTCCTAGGGCTGCCGTAATAAAGTGCCACAGACTAGATGGCTTGAACAACAAAAATCTATTGTCTCACAATTCTGGAGGCTTGAAGTCTGAGATCAAGGTGTCAGCAGGGTTGGTTTCTTTCTTTCTTTCCTTTTTTTCTGAGACGAAGTTCTGCTCTTTTTGCCCAGGCTGGAGTGCAATGGTGTGATCTCGGGTCACCACAACCTTTGCCTCCCAGGTTCAAGCGATTCTCCTGCCTCAGCCTCCTGAGTAGCTGGGATTATAGGCATATGCCACCATGCCTGGCTAATTTTGTATTTTTAGTAGAGATGGGGTTTCTCCATGTTGGTCAGGCTGGTCTCGAACTCCAGACCTCAGGTGATCCACCCACCTTGGCCTCCCAAATTGCTGAGATTACAGGTGTGAGCCACTGCGCCTGGCCAGGGTTGTTTTTTCTGAGGCCTCTCTCCTTGGCTTATAGGTCACTGTCTTCTCCCTGGGTCTTCACATGGTTTTCTCTCTGTGTGTTTGTGTCCAAATTTCCTCTTCCTACAAGGACACCAGTTTTATTAGATTAGGGCCCACCCAAATGAACTCATTTTAATTTCATTACCTTTTTAAAGACCCTATCCTGAAAAAGTCACATTCAGAGCTAATGAAGGTTAGAACCTCAACTTATGTGCTTTTGAGGAACACAATTTAGCCTATAACACCATCCTTATGGCTCAGCTTAAGTATCAGTCTCTCAGGGAAGCCTTTTCTCATCCTGACAGAGGTCTACATCCCTCTGTCATATGTATGTATGTATATATGTATGTGTGTATACATATGCATGTGTATCATATATAGATACATATATGCATGTATATATGTATAGGTATCTGACCATACTTCTCTCCCATGACATCATAATTATAATATTATTCCGTTTTCATAAAACAAACTAGGACGACCTTCCTTCATGTAGATATTTCTATGTTTGTGTATAGCTATATGGATAAAGGTATGGAAAGATATAATCTAGATTGGTAACATTGGCTACATGGGTATTGGAGGGGAGGTTATGGTAAGGAGGATGGGAAAGATGTAGCAAGGAAACAAAAATCAACCACAAAAACTTACAAAAATACGGTATCATGCAACATGACCATGTATGCATGGATAATATAATGTAATTTATTATTTTAAAAAAGTTTTTCAGCTGGGCATGGTGGCTCACGCCTGTAATCCCAGCACTTTGGGAGGCTGAGGCAGATGGATCACCTGAGGTTAGGAGTTTGAGACCAGCCTGGCCAATATGGCAAAACCCCCTCTCTACTAAAAATACAAAAAGTTAGCCAGACGTAGTGGTGCGTGTCTGTAATCCCAGCTACTTGGGAGGCTGAGGCAGGAGAATTGCTTGAACTGGGGAGGCGGAGACTGCAGTGAGCTGAGATCATGCCCCTGTACTCCAGCCTGGGTGACAGAGTGAGACCCGTCTCAAAAAAAAAAAAAAAAAAGGTTTTTCATTGCCTAGCTATTATGTCACAAAGATTTGCAAACTCTCAGTGCCATAGAGCAACATATATTTATTTAGCTTCCACATCAGTGGAAGTGGGGCTGGGCCTACAGGGAAGGCTTCGCTGGATGTGGCTCTCATCCTCTTCCTGGTATTAGCAGGCTGTCTTGTGGGCTCTTCTCATGGAATGGCAGAAACTCAAGATGTCAAGTGAGGGACATCTATGAAACTAGCACATTGTCAACTTCCTCCTTCATTGGCCAAAGCAAGTGACAAAGTCAAGGGATAGGGAAGTACATTCTACTCATGGATGTGGGGGTAGGGGAGGGGGTTAATATTTCTGATTAATAATCTATTCTACAACAGTTACATAAATATATATATTTAGGCCAGGCACGGTGGCTCACGCCTGTAATCTCAGCACTTTGAGAGGCCGAGGAGGGCAGATCACTTGAGTCCAGGAGCTCGAGACCAGCCTGGCCAACATGGTGAAACCCCATCTCTACTAAAAATATAAAAATTAGCCAGTTGTGG
The DNA here is from genome assembly GCF_000001405.40 of Homo sapiens. Taxonomy (NCBI): domain Eukaryota; kingdom Metazoa; phylum Chordata; class Mammalia; order Primates; family Hominidae; genus Homo; species Homo sapiens. The sequence continues at coordinate 211,201,787 of NC_000001.11, read as the reverse complement.
TGGTGGGCGCCTGTAATCCCAGCTACTCGGGAGGCTGAAACAGGAGAACTGCTTGAACCCAGAAGGCGGAGGTTGCAGTGAGCTGAAATCGTGCCACTGCACTACAGCCTCGGTGACAGAGAGAGACTCTGTTAAAAAAATATATATATATGTAAAAAATATATATATATATTTAGAGCTATACATTTATACATATGCATAAAGATTTTTATGAAATAATGGGTCCCAAATGAATGAGAGTTATCTAAACATGACAGAGTTTGAAATCATTTATATCTTTTGTTTCATTTATGTGTTGTTTATTTTATTTTTTGCCGTGCATACACTGTATAATCTAACAAATAACAATACAGATTTTATTGGGGAACAAGAGTAATTTTTTCAGATGAAGGGGATGGTGGCGAGGGGAAGGGCAACTAAGCAGAGAAAGCCCTCCAGAGTCAGGCTGGCTTTGTGCACAGCCATGAATCCATGAATAACTCCAGGAAAACTTTTCTAACTTTGCCAACATTATTTTGGTCATTATGCAAAACCACTGAGTTATGCAGATATTCATCTATAATGTGATATATTATCATTGTAATTTAATAATTCTTTTATTCTACATAAGAATAAATGAGAAAATAGTAGATCCCCAAAACCTAGCTGCCCTCTGATCACCCAGGGAGTTTTTTTTTGTTGTTGTTGTTTTGTTCTGAGACAGTTTCACTCTTTCACCCAGGCTGGAGTGCAGTGGGGCGATTGCTGCTCACTGCAGCCTCTGACTCCTGGGCTCAAGCCATCCTCCCGCCTCTGCCTCCCGAGTAGCTGGGACTACAGGTGTGTGCCACAACGCCAGGCTAATTTTTATAGTTTTTGTAGAGACAGGGTTTCACCATGTTATTCAGGCTGGCCTTGAACTCCTGGGCTCAAACAATCTACCTGCCTCAGCCTCCCAAAGTGCTGGGATTACAGACATGAGCCACCCTGCCTGGCCCCAGGGAGCTTTTAAAATGATATAAATATCAGAGTTCTATTTGCTGACTCAAGTAGATGAGGTGACACTTAGAAATCAGCATTTTCACAAACTCCCAGATAATTTTTATAATTACTCAGGTTTGGAAATCACTGGATCAAGCCAGTTTTGAGAGTTTTTCCAGCCTTCACTCTCCCATACCAACAGATTTCTCACAAAATGAAAATAATTGAATTGTGTGATTGTCTATGGGCCTCTCAGCTGTCCTAAAGGATTCATACCAGCTGTTTACTTTGCCCACGATCACCATTGTAAACAACAAAGGACTGCCATGCACTCCGTGTTGCTTGACCGTGTGGGCTCAGATCCTATAAGTAGCTATGAATCATGTGGGCCTGATCCTCGGGGTAACCTATTTCTATACTTCTTGGGGAGACAGATTTACTTTGTGAGGGAAATTTAACAGTTCATAGAAATTCTGACCTCCACGCAGAAGCTTTTCTAATAGAGTTGAAAAACCTTCATATAACAAAAACCACTCTTCTCTAACTTAAAAATGCAACTTTTCTCTCATTTACCCAGGTATTGGCTCAATGAACCTGGAGGCACATGCTCTAGATACAAGTATTGAATAACTTCCTGAGTTTAATTTAAAAATGCGGCTGGGCGCGGTGGCTCAGGCCTGTAATCCCAGCACTTTGGGAGGCCGAGGTGGGTGGATCACAAGGTCAGGAATTTGAGACCAGCCTGACCAACATGGTAAAACCCTGTCTCTTAAAAATACAAAAAAATTAGCCAGGCGTGGTGGCGCGCGCCTGTAATCCCAGCTACTCGGGAGGCTGAGGCAGGAGAATCGCTTGAACCTGGGAGGTGGAGGTTGCAGTCAGCTGAGATCATGCCACTGCACTCCAGCTTGGGCGACAGAGCAAGAGTCCGTCTCAAAAAAAAAAAAGAAGAAGCTATTTGGTTCCTTTTATACATCATAGTTAATAGGCAGGCTTTGAGCCTGCTTTATCCTTTAAGTGAGCATGTGGTCAGACCCCTTAAAACAAGATGTAGGAGATAAGCCTTTTATCCACACTCTGGCTAGGGAGACAGAAAAAAACTGATGTCTAGAATTTGGAGTGTTAGGGTAGATGGAAAAGGTTTCAAACAGTTGGACAGGTGAGAAGGGAACTCTGTAGAGAGAAAGTGGAGGCAAACTGAGGAGGCTGTTGGTTCCCTGACAAGCTTGTTGAGTTTGTTTCAACATGGAGAGCAAAATCAGATTAATAGACAGTTAACCATCTGGGCCAGTTGTCAAATTTTCTCTGTATTACAGCTCAAGAAGTTTGAAATTTACAGAGATCCAAAGTAAAGTAATTTTCCCCTCATATTTCACATGGGTAAAATGTACTGTGAAAAATAAATGAGCCTAAACTAAAAGTGCAAGAATACATGTATTTTGTTCTCTTGTGCATTTCAAGGGTTGGAAATTTCCATCTCCACCCTTTGCATCTTAAACATCTCACTTGCCCAATTTCTGGTAGAATCTTATACTCTAGGCAGTAAAAGATAAACACAAAGTCCTGTCAGGTACGAGGCATCCCAATTCTAGCCAGAAGTTTGACCAATTTGTCCTTTGTGTCAATAATTAGGAGGTGCCAAGAAGAAAGTGTGGAACAAATAAAAATGTGATTAGAATTACAAATGAAAACGAAAGCCACCAAACTCAGACCAGAGTGTGGTTCTGTTGAAATGTGCTGACTGTGGCCTGGGGGAACGCCATCCTACTGTGGCTAGCCTGAAGGAGTTCTGACATGGCTCTTTCCCTTGATTTTTCCACCCCTTATTCTTCCCTCATAGCATGCCATTTGTCACTGTATTAAAGGTGGTAATTTCTTTAAAAAGCGAAAACAAAACTTCCATTCCTCCTAGAGATATTCCATATATCCAAGGTAAAAACACTGGCTTCACTTTTCAAGGAACAGAAACTCCGCCATATGAGTATTACTTCACTTTAGGATGTTTTGGAGAATATTTTAATGTCCAAATTTACTCAGTAGTTTTATAAAAATAGCTACACATTCAAGTCCAATTTGAAGTGGTAAAGTACTTTGAAAATCCTTTAAGTTTATCTGAAGTGCAGCTAAAATGTAGTACTCAAGTTCAGCAAATGGGTGCAATTTGTTTCCAGGTTTGAATTGTTTCAATTTTGTTTGTGTGTCAGCCTAGGCTACCCCAGTTAAATCAGTCTTGGAAATAAAAGGACAAGTCCAATTAAATAAGTTTATTTTGCGCTAGCATTTGGCCCTTGCTAAGAGAAGAGTCTTTTCTGTGAAGTAAAGGAAAAACAGATTGAGAAGTGCCATGTCAATGATGCTTATGGGTTAAAAAGATGCTAACACAGTTTAACACCTTAGGGTCCAAAAAGGGCGGAAGGGCACAGAATGTTCTGTCTCTCTCCTCCTATGATTATTTGAACAATATGTTAAATTGTATTCTTATTCCAACCCCAAGGGAGTGACTCAGAAGGAGATAACAGAAGGAAAGGAAAGGTTCAGATGAAGAATCATTCTGGAATGTTTGACAACGTTTAAAAGCACTGGGTTAGACAGCATCATTTCTTCCATCACTCTTCCTAAACTGAAATCTTTGAATGTATCCTGTTGCTCGAACAACGTTTGTTTTACCTTAGAAATCCAAGGGTTCATTTATTCTTTTAATGCTAGGGGCAAAACTCTATCAAAAGTTACTGATAAATTCAGATTGTTTTCATTACTTTAAGAGGACCAGTGAGATTGTTATGGACTAAATGTTTGTGTTCCCCGCTGCCCAAATTCTTTTTTTTTTTACTGATCATTCTTGGGTGTTTCTCACAGAGGGGGATTTGGCAGGGTCATAGGACAATAGTGGAGGGAAGGTCAGCAGATAAACAAGTGAACAAAGGTCTCTGGTTTTCCTAGGCAGAGGACCCTGCGGCCTTCCGCAGTGTTTGTGTCCCTGGGTACTTGAGATTAGGGAGTGGTGATGACTCTTAACGAGCATGCTGCCTTCAAGCATCTGTTTAACAAAGCACATCTTGCACCACCCTTAATCCATTTAACCCTGAGTGGACACAGCACATGTTTCAGAGAGCACCGGGTTGGGGGTAAGGTCATAGATCAACAGTATCCCAAGGCAGAAGAATTTTTCTTAGTACAGAACAAAATGGAGTCTCCTATGTCTACTTCTTTCCACACAGGCACAGCAACAATCTGATTTCTCTATCTTTTCCCCACATTTCCCCCTTTTCTATTCGACAAAACCGCCATCGTCATCATGGCCCGTTCTCAATGAGCTGTTGGGTACACCTCCCAGACGGGGTGGCGGCCGGGCAGAGGGGCTCCTCACTTCCCAGAAGGGGCGGCCGGGCAGAGGCGCCCCCCACCTCCTGGACGGGGCGGCGGCCGGGCGGAGGCACCCCCTGCCTCCCTCCCGGACGGGGCGGCTGGCCGGGCGGGGGCTGCCCCCCGGCCTCCCTCCCGGCCCCCCTGACCAAATTCTTATGTTGTATCCTTAACCCCCCATATGATGGTATTTGGAGGTGGAGCTTTTGGCAGATAGTTAGATCAGGAGGGTAGTGCCCTCATTATGAGATTAGTGTCCTTATAAGAAGAGGAAGAGAGAGCAGAGCTCTTTCTCTCTCCATCACGTGAGGACACAGCAAGAAGGCAGGCAGCTACAAGTCAGAAAGAGGAATCTCACCAGGAAGTGAATTTCCCAGCATGTTGATCTTGGACTTCCCAGCCTCCAGAACTGTGAGAAATAAACAGCTGTTGTTTAAGCCATCCAATTTATGGCATTTTGTTATGACATATAGATGACTAATATAGACAGGTTTAAAGGAGTAGTTGTCACAGGATGCACAGAGCATCCTAAAAGTAAGTGATGGTGCACATAAAGTATAACAGAAATAGAGATAGAATGAGTTCAAGTTAATCAGTAGGTCTTTTGAGAGCCAGATTTAAAAGGAATGTATGGGACTTTTATTTCCAATCATTACCAAAGTAATTGGTCTTGGATTTTCTTTCCTACCACACACAATAAGAAAACCAGACAAAATATATGCTTTTTGGATTTTTCTTCTTGATTTTTAGCAGTTTGACTCCAATGTGCTAACTAGCTGTGGTTTTCTTTGTATTTATCCTGCTTGGGGTTTGTTGAACTTATTAGATCTGTAAGTTAATATTTTCCACCAAATTTGGGAAATTTTAATTCATTACTCATCAGATATTTTGTGTGACCCTTCCTCTCTCCTCTTGTATTCTGAGACTCCATTTACCTTGTCTCACAGGTTTCTGAAATGGGTCAATCTTTATACTCTTTGTTCTTCATGTTGGATAGTTTCTTTTGATCTCTTTTTAGTTCACTGCCCCTTTCACTGTCATCTCAAATGAGATATTGAGTCCATGTAGTGAACTTTTTATTTCTATCACTTTACGTTTCACTCTAGAATTTCAACTTTTTCTTTTTAGAAAGTAATTTCCACTTGTGTGTTAAGATTCTCTATCTGTTCATGTATTGAGAGAAAATTTTCCTTTAATTATTTGGACACATTTTAATTCTTTATAATAGCTGCTTTGAAATCTTTGACTTCTGTATATAGCAGCAGCACCAGGGATGGGTTTTGTCAAAAACAATTTTTACATGGGGGCGGGGGATGGTTTTGGGATGAAACTGTTCCACCTGAGATTTTTTTTTTTTTTTTTTTTGAGACAGTCTTGCTCTGTTGCCTAGGCTGGAGTGCAATGGCATGATCTCGGCTCACTGCAACCTCCACCTCCCAGATTCAAGTGATTTTCGTGCCTCAGCTTCCCGAGTAGTTGGGATTACAGGAGCCTGCCACCACACTTGGCTAATTTTTGTATTTTTAGTAGAGATAGGTTTCACCATGCTGGCCAGGCTGGTCTCGAATTCCCGACCTCAGGCGATCTGCCTGTCTCGGCCTCCCAAAGTAATGGGATTACAGACGTGAGCCACTGCGCCTGGCCAAGTCAGATTCTTATAAGGAGCACAATCTAGATCCCTTGCATGCACAGTTCACAATAGGGTTCGTGCTCCTATGAGAATATAATGCTGCTGCTGATCTGACAGGAGGCAGAGCTCAGGTGGTAATGCTTGCTGACCCACAGCTCACCTCCTGCTGTGCAGGGGGGTTCCCAACAGGCCACGGACTGGTACTGGTCCATGGCCCAGGAGTTGGGGACCCCTGACATACAGCATTTGGGCCCACTTGGAATCACTGTCTACTGATTTCCTTTCATCCTGAGTATGGGTCATGCTTTCCTGTTTCTTTGCGTGCTTAGTAATTTTTGGTTGAAAAATGAATATTGTAGGTGATACATTGTAGTAACACTGGACACTTTTATGTTCTTCTGATGATTGTTTGCTTTTACTTTAATAGGCAATTAACTTGCTTGGACTAAAACTATTATTGTCCCATCAGTTTCTCCCATGCACTCATAATGGTTGATCAGGGATATGGAAAGATGTGTAGAGCCTACAGAGATTTTGACACTCTTGCACTTGCAGAGTTATAAATTTCCAGCTGCTCTTTCATCCCTGAAAGAACTCTGTCCTCTGTCACACTGAGTGGGTAAGGCTTCAGTTTTCTGCTTCTGGAGATAGGGAGTTTGGGGAAACATCCTAGGGCAAAACCATCACAAATTCACAATTCTGACCCATTTCCAAAGTGGATTTTCAAGTGTAAACTCACTTCTGGTTTCTGACTGCTTCTGGTCGCTTTTAAATGCCTTTAAGTAGTTGTTTTTTAAGCAATATTTTGTTCAGATTTCATAATTGTTCTCTGTGGAAGAATTTGCTTGAACTCTTCACTCCATAAATATGGAAAACAAGAGTTTCACTCTTAATTTTGAAAGGTATTTTTGCTGCATTTAGAATGCTGTGTTGATAGCCTTTTCTTGTTTATTTTTAGCATTTAAAGAGGTGTTCATTTCTTCTGGTCTCCATTTTTTCTAATGAAAATTTAATTATCTTTCTTATCATTATTCTCCTGTATGTAATGTATCTCTTTTTTTCAGGCTGCCTTAAGAATTTTGTTTATTTTGCTTTTTAGCAGTTTGACTTTGATGTACTTCGGGTGTTTGTGTGTGTTTAGTGAACCCAGGCTTGGATTAAAAAGTGCTTCGGGCTTTGTGGGTTTTTTTTTTTGGAATATTTGCATTATACTTATCAGGTGAGCATCCAAAATCCAAAAATCTGAAATCCAAAATGCTCCAGTGAACATTTCCTTTGAAGATCATGCCAACACTTAAAAAGATGTGAATTTTTGGAGTAATATGGATTTCAGATTTGGATGCTCAGTCTGTATATGTTTTTCACAAAATTTAGGAAGTTTTTGGCAATTATTTCTTCAAATGTATTTTCTTTTCCCTTCATTTTCTTCTCTGTTTCTGGAATTCCAATCATACATATTAGATTGCTTAGTTTCTTAGAAATTATTTAGAGCAAACATAGTAACATTACACAGTCGAATTTATTACATATGTAGCAATGAAGTGTATCACAAAAATGGCACAAAATATGAAGGGATTGGCCGAGTGCGGTGGCTCATGCCTGTAATCTCAGCACTTTGGGAGGCCAAGGCAGACAGATGACCTGAGGTTAGGAGTTCACGACTAGCCTGGATAACATGGTGAAACCTCATTTCTACTAAAAATACAAAAAATTAGCTGGGCATGGTGTTGCAAGCCTGTAATCTCAGCTACTCCAGAGTCTGAGGCAGGAGAATCGCTTGAACTCGGGAGGCAGAGGTTGCAGTGAATCGAGATCATGCCATTGCACTCCAGCTTGGGCAACAAGAGCAAAACTCCATCTCAAAAAAAAAAAAAAAAAAAAAGGAAGGAATAGGAATACAATTTTACTGTCTTGCATTTTATGTGTACACTATTAACCCTAATTAGACTATAGTAGGTTTCAGGTACATATAATCCTCTGAGCAACCACTTAAAACAATTCAAAGGCGTATAGCTAGAAAACCAATAGAAGAATTGAAATGTAGTCTTAAAAATATTTGATTATACCAAAAGAAACATAAAAAGTATGATGAGAAGAAATAACAGATGGGATATATAGAAAACCAAAAGCAAGATGGCAAACTCAATCCCAATAATATCAATAATTACATTCACTATAAATAGATTAAACACCCAATTAAAAGGCAAAGATTAGGCTGGGTACAGTGGCTCATGACTGTAATTTCAACATTTTGGGAAGTTGAGGCAGGAGGATTGCTTGAGGTGAGGGGTTCAGGATTGCTTGAAGCCAGGTGTTCAAGACCAGCCTGGGCAACACAGTGAGACCCCATCTCAAAAGAAAAAAAAGAAAGAAAATGGGAAATGTCTTAAATCAATGATCTCACTTTCTACTTTAAAAACCTAAAAAAAGAGAAAATTATAGCCAAAAAAGTACAAGAAAGAAAATAATAAACAGCAAAAATAAAGAAAATAGAAAATGAACAAGCAATGAAGAATCACAGTTAAGAGCTGTTTTTTGAAAGGAGTAATAAAATTAACCGACCAAGAAAAAAAGAGAGAAAACACAAACGACTAAAATCAGGAATGAAAGAGGGATGTCACTATATAGATCCTACAGATGTTAATGAACTTTTTTTTTGTTTGTTTTTGTTTTTTTTTTTAAGATGGAGTTTCACTCTTGTTCTCCAGGCTGGAGTGCAATGGTGCGATCTTGGCTCACTGCAACCTCCACCTCTGGGGTTCAAGCGATTCTCACGCCTCAGCCTCCGGAGTAGCTGTGACTATAGGCACCACCACCACGCCCAGCTAATTTTTGTATTTTTAGTAGAGATGGGGTTTCACCATTTGGCCAGGCTGGTCTCAAACTCCTGACCTCATGATCCACCTGCCTCGGCCTCCCAAAGTGTTGGGATTACAGGTGTGAGCCACCGCACCCGGCCAAGATGTTAATGAACTTTTCAGGGTGATGGAAATAGTCTATATCATAAATGATATATTATAAAAGGTGAAAGGTTTGTTCGTTCTGAAGAGAAACCAGAGCATCATGAATGATATATTGTTATGTGTATATGCATTTGTTAAAATTCATTGACTTACATACCTAAGATCTATGCATTTGACTGTAAGTAAATTTTACTTCAATAAAAAATTAAATTGAATGTGTCATGCTTTCAGTTGGCTTCTTTATTTCCTTTTTTGTACGCTTTCATGCAAACCAGTGTTTAGGTAGGACTCGAATTTATTCAATCCATTCTCTAATTTACAAATGCAGTCTTTGATCTATTCATTTTGCAGTTACTGTAATTGCGTGTTTCTGTTTCCTTTCTTCTTAGATTATGAACTCCTTAAGAAGACTAGCTCTTCTGTACACTGTGTTCTGAGAACCTCATGTGATACCATGAACTTTGTGGGTGCTTGACAAATATCTGGTTTATTTCTTGACTCTCAGCATTTGATCATAATTAAAGCTGCCAGAACTAAACCAAGATAGGATAAAATATCAGGCATTTAAGAGGATGAATTAGAGCATGCCTGGGAATGTTTGTGCATATACAGTACATCTCTCCATTCCAAAACAGATGAATAACAATTTGGGTTCATTTCATATTAGCTATTTATTTTCTCTTAATTACTGAGCATGATTAAGACTTCCGGTTTTTTTTTTGTTTTTTTTTTTTTTAAGACAGAGTCTCACTGTTGTTGCCCAGGCTGGAGTGCAATGGCACAATCTCGGCTCACTGCAACCTCCGCCTCCAGGGCTCAAGCGATTCTCCTGCCTCAGCCTCCAGAGTAGCTGGGATTACAGGTGCCCACGACCGTGCCCAGCTAATTTTCTGTATTTTTAGTAGAGACAGGGTTTCACTATGTTAGCCAGGCTGGTCTCGAACTCCTGACCTCAGGCGATCCACCCGCCTCGGCCTCCCAAATTGCTGGAATTATAGGCGTGAGCCACCGCACCTGGCCTGACTTCCTGTTTTTAATGGGCCCAGGAAGTCACCTCAAAAATGTCACTTTGTTGTAAAAGCATCTTTAACAAAGTTAACAATTCTGTGACCCAATTCCTTGTTAGAAACTCCACTAATGGAAATGATATTACATAGGATGCATAGGAAAAAAACCCTAATATCAGTTAAATGCGTATATAAGTATGTACAACATCCCCATGGAAAACACTAATTAAAAGAAATTTAAATGGGAGGAAAATATCAAATACCCACTGGTATCTTGAACCTAAGAGAGGGGATAAGGTTAACTACTAAGGGTGTGTCCATGGGAGACAAGAAAGGATAAAAGGGAGAAACTCTGGGCAGACAGGGGAGAAAGAGAAAGAAATGGAAGACAAATGGGGAGAACATTTATTTTAAGGCATCAGAAGTTTGAGTTCATCAATTCAGGGGCCATGTGCTCCTTTCTTTCATCCTCAGCATTTATTGTGCATTGATTTTGCACCAGGTGCTTTGCAAGGCTCTGAGGCTCTGGAAACTGTCCCTGCCCTTGGGGCAGTCTAGGATTTCATGGGTATGTACAAAGAATCTCATATCTCCAGCATTTGGGCAACCGTCTCTCTTACTCCATTTGTTCCCTTTATGGATCCTAGTACTCTACCTGCTCCCTATTTAGGTTTTCAACTCTCATGAAGATTCTGCTGTATTTTATAACCTCACTTTTTACTTCCCAGAGCACTTTATGCAGTGGAAACAGCATAGCATCATGGCCCTTCAGCCCCAGAGAAGGGGTTTTTGCCTTGGGCCCCATGTCTTAGAGGGCTCCATATATCACAAAAACAAAAATATAAGTTTATTAAGAAATCCATAGGCAGGAGTTACCTGTGGTATGGTCTCAGCTGTGGCACAGCATGACCTGTAATCCCAACAGCCCCTCTCAAGACTAATAGCAGCATTCATCTCGTCATCCCTTGCCCTGTGTCCTTAAAATAAAAGGAGACTGTGTCAGAGTTCTGTGAAGGTTGTAGATTGGGCCACTGCCAACTTCAGAAACATACTATTTCTGAGGGAAGTATTTGAGCAGTAGAAGTGGTTAGGTAAGAGAAAAAAAATTGTCAATTCTTTCCTCTCAGGTGATATAAATGTATTTTTGCATAATGAATTATATCCCAATACTGCCCAGCATCCATTTTCTTGCTTGCTCTTAACATGGCACCTGGGAAACATTTTGCAATATTAAATGATTTGTATTACTCTTTTTTTTATTTGAGACAGAGTCTCCCTCTGTCACCCAGGCTGGAGTGCAGTGGCGCGATCTCGGCTCACGCAAGCTCTGCCTCCCGGGTTCACGCCGTTCTCCTGCCTCAGCCTCCCAAGTAGCTGGGACTACAGGTGCCCACCACCACGCCCTGCTAATTTTTTTGTATTTTTAGTAGAGATGGGGTTTCACCGTGTTGGCCAGGATGGTCTCGATCTCCTGACCTCATGATCCACCCTCCTCAGCCTCCCAAAGTGCTGGAATTACAGGCGTGAGCCACCGCGCCCGGCCTGTTTTGTATTACTCTTAAATCTACCTATATGTAGGTCTAGATATAACATGCATGAAGCATGATACTGATTCTTCACATAAAAGCTTGGATATTAATATTGATTTAAAAGATGGCAAAAGTTAGTATATGATAATGACTTACATGATGGAATTAAGTGTTCTGTAATACTTTAGCAATTACAATAATTTATCATATGTGGCTTCATTACAATGTTTAGACATACAACATAAAGTTCATGATTTGTTTCTGAATCTAACTATTGCTTTAGAAATTTTATTTCACTTGCTGTTGTCTCAGTGCTGTTGCTCTCCAAATTGAAATTGCTAAAAATAGAAAAAACAAACTTACATAGGGACTTCTGTGGCTCAAGAAAGGCTAATTTAGAGTTACTTATAGTAGAAGCAAATTGTGTAAAAATTTGATTATGACCACATAATTAGTGATTTTGGTAAAATGAAAGTAAGAGTAGGCCGGGCGCGGTGGCTCACGCCTCTAATCCTGGCACTTTGGGAGGCCGAGGCGGGCAGATCACGAGGTCAGGAGATCGAGACCATCCTGGCTAACACAGTGAAACCCTATCTCTACTAAAAATACAATAATTAGCCGGGCATGATGGCGTGTGCCTGTAGTCCCAGCTACTTGGGAGGCTGAGGCAGGAGAATAGCATGAACCTGGGAGGCAGAGGTTACAGTGAGCTGAGATCACGCCACTGCACTCCAGCCTGGGCGATACAGTGAGACTCTGTCTCAAAAACAAAACAAAAAAACAAAACAAAACAAAACAAAAAAACCCAGGAAGTAAGAGTAGTTTTATAGAATCAGTGTAATTAATGAATTATGTATGCCTTTGTTACCCAGTTTTCACTGGCTCATCAACAGAACACTCTGACATGTGCAATTGTAATTCAGTTCAATTGTCTTTGATATTTACCTGACTTGTGATCATATAAAAACATAGTTTTATACATTTAAAAATTTTGTTGTTTATAAAGGTAATTTGTCAAGGTAAGAGGTTAGAATATATTTTATCTGAAAGTTTATTAACGTTGCCAATAACTTTTAAGTATTTTCTCTATTGGTATGTGGGTCTCTATTTGTATTTTTGTCCTGGGCCATGCAAATGTTAGGGGAAGTTCCAGAAAGTAGCATGTGATTAATACATTTTTGTTTACTGGTTGATGTAGGATCTTCACGGCAAATAAACATTTTCTTCATGCTTAGAATTGTTTTCCTTTTTAAAAACCATGCTTTGATTTGCTGAAAATCTTTCTCTAGCAGTTTGAAAACAAAAGTTTCTGGTGATTTCTTTTTTTTTTTTGAACAATGCTGATGTTTTGAAATGTATGTGTTGGCTTCCTTTGCCTTTCTGTTTCCCTTCCCCTTTCTGAAAAGTTCAATTATAGGCCAGGCGTGGTGGCTCACACCTGTAATCCGAGCACTTTGGGAGGCCTAGGAAGGTGGATCACCTGAGGTCAGGGGTTCAAGATCAGCCTGGCCAACATAGTGAAACTCCATCTCTACTAAAAATACAAAAATTAGCCAGACACGGTGGCACGTGCCTGTAGGCCCAGCTACTCAGGAGGCTGAGGCATGAGAATCACTTGAACCTGGGAGGCGGAGGTTGCAGTGAGCCGAGATTGTACCACTGTACTCACTCCAGCCTGGGTGACAGAGTGAGACTCTGTCTCCAAAAAAAAGTTCAGTTATAAAGGCAGGATTGTGACAGAGCAAGGTGGTTATCACATTGTGAGGTGGGCAGTCTCAAGGGGGAACCAGGTCACAAGCAGGGTGTGAGGAGCATCCTTCCAGGGGTCAACCTGACCAGGTGAGTCAGAGACCACATGGGAGGAAGAGGCTGCCATACAGGGGTGAAGCCTTGAGTGGGGTAGCGAGGACATTCATGAGGAGGGGCTCTCTGGTGGGGAGTGCCAGAGCCCAAGCAGGGTGGTAAGGTCACCAGGCATGGGGGCAGCTTGGCTTGAGGTTTCCTGGCAGGATAAAGAGGGCCTCTAGGCAGGAGAGACCCAGAAGCAGTCATGGGAGACTCATTACAAACAAGGGGCTTGATAAAAAAATAAAGATCTCAAGAAAAAGGGAAGTCAAGATTTTTACTGTCTAATAGAAAGGGAGAAAACTACAATGAATGCTACGATGTTAGATTAGAATGGGTTGTATCTATGTGAACTCATGGTTTTCAGTAAATATAATATTAAATCAATAAGATAAATATAGCACTAAAAATAGGGGTGTGTGTGTGCATGTGTGTGTGTGTACGTGTGGCCTTGCAATAGCAAACGACCCCCCGAGAGAAATAAGCACAACTTTCACCCAGATTTTTAAATGTCATTTTCTACTAAAAAGGACCAAGGGGTTTCCAGAGATATGACTAATTCCATTTTTAGATGAAACTTTTGGAACGTCTTGTTGAGCTAGAGATCAAAAGATTATCTTAGAAATTATAGGACCATGTCAAAAGTACCCAGAAGCAAGCTTGAAGGAGATTTCACTTGACAATTTTAGCATCAAAAAATGGTATCTATCATCTAAGGGATTATAACCCATTGACTATAATAGGAAGTCATGAGTCCATGCTAATATAAATTAATAAATGGAACATCTGATAAAGAATGGGTTATTTACATTGTTTCAAAGTGACTCCACACAAAATATTCATTAATTATAAAGAGAAGAGTAAGTTTATAGTGGAGATGCCTGGCAGACACCACCTTAATCAAATGATTAAAGCTGATATTATCAGTAAAGGAACAAATAAAAATTCAATGAGAGGAACACATCATAATTTCTGTAATATTCCTGCTGAAGGCACGTAACCTGAATTTAATCATGAGAAAATGTCAGACAACTCCAAATTAAGAGACGTTCTATAAAATAAGTGCTCTGTAATCTTCAAAAATATCAAGGCCATGAAAGTCAAGGAAAGACTGAGGAAAATGTTCTAGGCTGAAGGTGACTAGAGACAGGACAACCAAATGCAATATTTGGTCCTTTTTTTTTTTTTTTTTTTGAGACAGAGTCTCACTCTGTTGCCCAAGCTGGAGTGCAGTGGCCTGATCTCTGCTCATCTGCAAACTGTGCCTCCCAGGTTCAAGTGATTCTCCTGTCTCAGCCTCCCAAATAGCTGGGATTACAGGTGTGTACTACCACACCTGGCTAATTTTTGTATTTTTAGTAGAGATGGGATTTTACTGTGATGGCCAGGCTGGTCTCAAACTCCTGACCTGAAGTGATCCATCTGTCTTGGCCTCCCAAGTGCTGGGATTACAGGCGTGAGCCACCGCACCTGACTGCAATATGTGATCCTTAACTGGATCTATAAAGGACATTAATGGGACAATTGGGGTCTGAGGATGAAATTTTATTGTAGTATCAGTGTTAGCTTTCTAATTCTGATGGTTCTGTTGTGAATTTGCAGGAAAATGTTCTTGTTTGTAGGAAATACATGCTAAAGTACTTGTGAGTATTTGGGCATCAGGTTAGAAACTTATTCTCAAATGATTTCTTCCAGAAGAAAAGTTGTTTGAACTCTACTTGCAACTTGTCTGTAAGTTTGAGGTTGTTCCAAAATGAAGAGTTTATACTAAATATAAACATTTAAAAATTATCCTTTAAATTGGCTAAATATAATTCTGAAAATGAATTAAAAAATAACAAATCAGCCTGGGCACAGTGGCTCACACCTGCAATCCCAGCACTCTGGGAGGATGAGGCAGGAGGATAACTTGAGTCCAGGAGTTTAAGATCAGTTTGGGCAACACAGCAAGGCCCCATCTCTACAATTTTTTTTTTTTTTTTTTTTTTAAGTTGGAGTCTCGCTCTGTCGCCCAGGCTGGAGTGCAATGGCATTATCTCGGCTCACTGCAACCTCCACTTCCTGAGTTCAAGCGATTCTCCTGCCTCAGCCTCCTGAGTAGCTGGGATTACAGTCATGTGCCACCACACCCGGCTAATTTTTTTATTTTTAGTAGAGACAGGCCTTCACCATGTTGTCCAGGCTGGTCTCAAACTCCTGACCTCGTGATCCACCCACCTCGGCCTCCCAAAGTGCTGGAATTACAGGAGTGAGCCACCATGCCCAGCCAATTTTTTATTTTTTTTTAAATTAGCTGGGTGTGGTGGTGTGTGCTTGTAGGACGAGCTACTTGGGAGGCTGAGGTGAGAGAGTTGCTTGAGCCCAGGAGGTGGAGGCTGCAGTGAGCTATGATTACACCACTGTATCCCAGCCTGGGTGACAAAGTGAGACCCTGTTTTATAAATAAATAAGTAAATAAATAAATAAATCAGTTTTAGCCAACTACCTAAATACACTCCCAAGAGCACAGTTTAAGTAGGACAACCCAGGTGTGTGTGTGTGTGTGCCTGTGCGCACGCATGTGCGTTTGTGTGTGTGTGATGTTCTAATGAAATGGCAGGTGTTCAAAGGGTATAAAGTTTTAGTTACACAGGAGGAATAAGTTCTAGAGATGTGTGTTGTACAGCATGGTGACTACAGTTAATACTAATGTACTGTACACTTGAAAATGGCTAAGAGTATTTTTAAATGATCTCACTACAAATAATGATAGTTTGTCAGGTAATGCATATGTTAATTAGCTTAAATTAATGATTCCACTATATATATATATATATATATATATATATTAAAACATCACATTGTACCCCATAAATATATACAATAAGAAAGAAATGGGAGATAAAATGTGACAAATTGTGTGTGTTGTAAGTGATAAATAAGCACAAAATGCGATACAGCAAGGGTGAGAAGGCTCTATTCTGTATGAATACTGACGAGCACTCAGTACTGAGGTCTGAAGTGGACTGCTGAGTGTAAAGTCTATTTCTACATTATAAGGGCAAAAAATAGCATGTGTTTCTATCTGCTAAGGCAGAGCATCACAAGTGGCTGCATTAATTGATTGATTCATCTTGGCTCTGCCATTCCTGTGAGACCCAGGCAAGTCACTTAATCTCCCTATGCCTCAATTATCTCATATATAGAATAACGATAACAGTGCCTACCTCATAGGTACTCATAGGGTGAACTTAGATAAGTTAATATATGTAAAGTGCTTAGAACATTGCCTGCTACAGAACAAGCACTACATGAAAATGTTAGCTATTATTTTTGTTTTGTTATTTATTTATTTTTGGTTTTTTACTTTTTTGTTGTTGTTTTTTGAGACAGGGTCTTACTCTGTCACCCGGGCTGGAGTGCAGTGGTGTGGTTATGGCTCACTGCAGCCTTGACCTTCCAGGTTCAAGTGATCCTCCCACCTCAACCTCCTGAGTAGCTGGGACTACAGGCATGCGCCACCATGCCCAGAAAATTTTTGTGTTTTTTTTGTAGAGATGGGGTTTCGCCATGTTGCTCGGGCTGGTCTTGAGTTCCTGGGCAGTCTGCCCTCCTTGACTTCCCAAAGTGCTGGGCTTACAGGCATGAGCCACCTGTTATTGTTATTAACTCATTCATCAACGGTACAATTTGCATTCTCAAATATTTTTAATGGTAAGGTGATGGTTCCTCTCCCTACCAGGAGTTGAGAGAAACTTTCCCTGCTGTGGAAATTGCTTGTACCCTCTAGTCTGTGTCCATCTGGACTCTCTTTAATGGTGGAGTGTCAATACTCACCACACCCTGACCCCAGCTTTTCATCCTGACCCTGGAACCCCTCTTGCTGAGCTGAGAGCCCTTGGTCAGTACAGAATGTGTCTTATATTTTCTGGCAAATGGTTTGTTGTTTTCCTTCATTTGACTCTGCTTTTGCATTTACCTCTTCTCTACCTCCTTTCAGAATGAATCAAACTGGGACTATTGATCAAACTTCACCTTTCTCTGTGTCTCGCAGTCTTTCTGTTTTGCTTTATTTCGAAGTCAACAAAGTATCTTCAATGCATTTGAAACAGAAATACTTTTGCATTTTTATTTGATGTTTTGTATTTTCAATAACCATTCAATGCTCAGGCCTCAGAAGTCTATGATTATAGAGCACATTGAACACTGACTCAAGAGGGCTTAGGAGATTTTTCTTAGGATCATGTGGAAAATTCTAAGCTCCGCTTATGGTTAACAATCAATACTTAGATTTCAGTTCTTTTTTGTTTGTATCTGTTTGAAGACTCATTTGGGCAACTCTTTTAAAGCCTGTGACTCATTTATTTATGCACTTTATTGCTGTGTCACTGTGAAGAACAGATGGCAGTGAATAAATTTTGACTTGACTTAAGGACTTGAATTTCCCTTGCATTTATAGACTGCCATTTTTAATCTGCCATCTCTTTTAAAGTTGTTTACTTGTGAACTTCTAAGAATATACAGTAAAAGCTTGTGTTTCCTTTATCTAATCTAACACTTATGCTTAAACGTATACATCTGTGGATAGAATAGGACCTTCAGAATTAGTTACAGCTGGGTTTAACTGTTGGCTCTTCAAGAAAGTAGTTCATAATAACTGTATGTTTGGGCAGATTTCTTCATTTGTAAAATATTGGCTGTTGTCTTTCCAAAACACCACCAGAAAAGAAAAATAAAACAAGTTATTGATCAAACAAATCTAAATGCATTAGACTTACTGTAATAAGGGCAAACATCACCTTGACAGAGACTTAGTAATATCCCAGAAGGGAGAAGTCAGGAGGATACTTATGGAAGTTAGGGTGAGGGCTGGGTAGTTTTAAGGTGGAGAACTGGTTGAGGATTGGGCAGAAATTATGACATAGTAGCTTTGGTCTGGTGAGCTCAAGTGTGGCAAGCATATAGTTAATCTTGAAATTAAACTATTTTAGTTGGCTCGTGGTCTTGTCTTCCAGGAGAAAGTAGCTAGGTTATTTTTGCTTTTTCTCAGTACTGGTTCACACAGAGGTATGTCCAATCCCAGGACTGTTTAACATAGTGTATGGTTGACACACCTGACAGCAATAACTACGCATACCCTGATAATGACCCTGTGTGGCAGATGCACCTGAACGTGTGTTTGGAGTTCTGAGCTAAGGAATCCAGGAGTGGCCAATCCGAAGAGTCATTCCTTATCTATAGAGGAACGTCTGAGCTCCCATCCTGTCCCATGGAACGTGGGCTGTACAGGGGATTGAGGCCCTTTGTTTGGGATTAAATGAAGGTTGCCAGATGGAGGTTAAGGGGAGGGTGTTAAGTGAAAATGCTATATAAATTGCATGATTTTTCTGTTTTTGTTTTTTACAAGCAGTGATGGTTCTTCTGCCAGCCTGCCGCCATGGGATTGCTCTGTATGTAAGTTTCCTGCTAATAAAGCCCTGTCTCCTTTGCTGGCTCTGCTTCTCTTCTTCGGCCTCTTGAAACTGGTGCCATCCCTACTGAGGTTAATAAGGGTCCCACATGACACATAGGTGTGGGAAGTTTTACTAGTTTCAGTTCTCAATGATCATTTATGTCATGAGATTATTGTGAGTATGAAATAGAATGCTGTATATAAACAAGACTGGCAGTGAGTAAGTGCCTATTAAAACATTAGTTTCTTTTCTCTAACACAGCTGCTCCCCAACCCCTTCACCTGTATTTTTTAATACTGGGATTTTATCTAGCTATTTTTTATTTTCTGGGACAGAGTCTCACTCTGTCACCCATGCTGGAGTGCAGTGGCATTATCTTGGCTCACTGCAACCTCAGACCCCTGGGCTCAAGTGATCCTCCCACCTCAGCCTCCCAAGTATCTGGGACCACAGGTGTGAGCCACCACAACTGGCTAAGTTTTGTATTTTTGGTAGAAATGGGGTTTCATCATGTTGTTCAGGCTGGTCTCCAACTCCTGAGCTCAAGCAATCCACCCACCTTGGCCTCCCAAATTGCTGGGATTACGGACATAAGCCACTGCGCTTGGCCTCATCTGCCCATTAATAGCATCTAAATCAATGTTATACCACAGTAATAGTACTAAAAAAAGTTTAATGGGTGAATGAAAATCAAAAGGTAAAATTTTTAAAAGCCAAACCAAGTACTTTGCAGGATTTTAATACCAGTTTAAGCCTGTAAAACCTGTTTCTTCCAAACGTAATTAATTAATGTATTGTCTTACTTAACACAACTTTCTCATTAACTACTGCTAGAAGAAGACAGGTGCATTCTGGAAACTTGAATCACTAAGGGGAGGAGCTTCAATTTTGATCCCAGATATGTAAGTAAATTATTTAACTTAGTCAACTCTCATGGGGAAAAGTTATTTAAACTAGTTAAGGGTCATTATTTAAAGAAGGTAAGATATTCTACAGATGCTACAGCATCAGACAAAAGTGGGAGGTTTGAAGATCAGGTTTCTTTAGGAATTTTTTCTTCCTCTTTGAACTCGTATTCTTTGCTTTTGATCACTTTCATTGGAAAATAATTTCAGAAACTGTTTATCCGGTTTTCTTCTACTTTTACTGATAATCTTAAATCTATAATCTATTTTTTTCATAACTCTCTCTCTAGAATATGCTTTTTTTTTTGAGATGGAGTCCTGCTCTGTTGCCCAGGCTGCAGTGCAAAGGTGTGATCTCAGCTTACTGCAACCTCTGCCTCAGGGTTCAAGCAATTCTCCTGCCTCAGCCTCCCAAATAGTTGGGACTACAGGTGCGTGCTGCCACGCCCAGCTAATTTTTTTGGTGTATTTTTAGTAGAGATGGGGTTTCACCATGTTGGACAGACCTCTGGTGGTCCTCCCGCCTCGGCCTCCCAAAGTGTTTGGATTACTGGCGTGAGCCACTGTGCCCAGCCTAAAATATGGTCTTAAGGACACTCTCAACCCAGATCTGCTGTGGTTTCAGAGGAGCCCTGGTTCTTCTGAGAGTTATTCATTCGCATCAGATACAATTGCTTGGATGCTTTTCTTTTCTGCCACCATTCCAGTTTTCAGTGGAGGCACGCAGAGCACATCTGGTTCCAGACATGCTTCATTAGTTGAAAGGTTAATAGAATTGTAATTTTTTTTTTTTTTTTGCAGGGATAGCAGGAGGGTAAGATGAACAGTAAAGGGAAATTGAGTACAGTAAAAAAAATTCTTTCAAGAACTAGAACTCCCTTTACTCATTCATATGCACTAGGTATAAGGAGTTAAGGTGTCAGCCGACAGCTGATTATGAAAACCTCACCAAGAATGTCTGAGTTTCCACAGAATTTAAAGCTCTAGACTGATCTATTTTAGTTTCCAGGCAGGAGCTAATTCTTATGGCTACTATAGGGCTTTCTCACTCTTTCATGAGGCATTGGACTAATGGTAGCTACCATTTACTGGCAGCTGCTATATGCTGAGAACAAATTCAGTGCTTTCTCTGTCTTAACACTCATGACAATGGTGAGAACTGGTATGCTCATATTATAGTAGAAGAAACTGAGGCTCAGAGAGATTAAATAATCAAAGGTTAGACACCAAGTAAACTGGAAAGCCAGCATTGAGACTCAGGCTTTTTAGCTCTAAAATGTGTATCCCAAAGGCAATATAGAATAGTGATTAGGGATGTGGGCTCATGCCTGGGCTCAACTCCAGCTGTGTAACTGTGGGCAAGTTGTTGAACTCCTATGCCTCAGTTATCTCATCTAAAAATGGAGTTGTTAACCCAATTAAAAATGGGCAAAAGATCAAAGTGGCACATAAGTATATAAAAAGATGCTCAACATTCTATATCATTAGGGAATTGCAAACTAAAACAATAGTGAGGTGCCACTACATACCTATTAATATTAAAATAACAAAAATCCAAAAACTGACATCAAATACTGGAGAGGATGTAGAGCAAGAGGAACTCTCATTTATTGCTGGTAGGAATGCAAAATGGTACAGCCATTTTGGAAGACAGTTTGGCGGTTTCTTACAAAGGTAAACATACTCTTACCATAGGATCTAGCAATCATGCACCTTGGTATTTACCCAAATGAGTTGAAAACTTATGTCTACAGAAAAGCTTGCACAGGTATGTTTATAACAGCTTTATTCATAATTGCCAAAACTTGGAAGTAACCAATATGTCCTTTAGTAGGTGAATGGGTAAACAAACTGGTACATTTATACGATGGAGTATCATTCAGCAATAAAAACAAATAAGCTATCAAGCCACAAAAAGACATGGAAGAATCGTAAATGTATATTGTTAATAGAAAGAAGCCATTATGAAAAGGCTACATACTGTATGATTTCAAACGCATGATATTCTGGAACAGGCAAACTGAAAAGTGAAAAGATCAGTGGGTACTAAGGGTTTGGAGGTGAGGAGACAGGGAGGAATAGGTGGAACCCAGGGGACTTTTGTCAGCAGTGAAACTATGCTGTGTGATATAATGATGGATACATGTTACACTTGTCAAAACCTGTAGAACCCTACAACACAGAGTCAACCCTCATATAAACTGTGGACTTTTAACAATGTATCAACATTGGCTCATCAATTGTAACGAAAGTACAACATGAATGTAAGATATTAATAAGGAAAACTATGTATGCTGAGGGTGGGGCTGGGGAAAGGATGGTATATGGGAACTGTCTGTATTTTCCACAGGATTCTTTTTGTAAACTTCAAACTTCTCTAAAAATTCAATTATTTTAGAAAGTCTGCCTCAAAACAAAAAAGAAAGAGGGTTGTTGTGAGGATTTGATGAGTTAATATATATAAAACACTTAGAGAGGCTGGGCACGGTGGCTCACGCCTGTAATCCCAGCACTTTGGGAGGCCGAGGCAGGCAGATCACAAGGTCAGGAGTTCGAGACCAGCCTGGCCAATATGGTGAAACCCTGCCTCTACTAAAAATACAAAAATTAGCTGGGTGTGGTAGCAGGTGCCTGTAGTCCTAGCTACTCGGGAGGCTGAGGCAGGAGAATCGCTTGAACCTGGGAGGCGGAGGTTGCAGTGAACCAAGATGGTGCCACTGCACTCCAGCCTGGGCTACAGAGCGAGACTCCATCTCAAAAACAACAACAACAACAACAACAACAAAAAACACTTAGAGAAAAGCCTGGCATGTGCAACGCATTGAGTGGTGGTGATGATGATGATCCCTGTTGCTTTCTTGGAGGTGATCAGACATTTACTTTACTGTGCGTGGGGCCACCTGAATGTTTGGCAGTAAATGTAGTGTGACCTTGGACAAATAACATAACATTTATACCTTAATTTCTACCTCTATTAAATGGGGTAAGAATTATGCCAATCTCTTATGTTATAGTGCAGATTTAATGCATTAATCCATACAAAGGGTTCATAACAGTGCCAGCATGTATGTGTATTATTGTTTCTATACTATCTTCCAGTCCTTAGCACTCCACAGATCCCTGCTCAAATACACCATCTATTTTTTTTTTCCTTTCCTTGTTCCCATTTCAGCTCCAAAGCCCTTGAGTATCTTTCATCTCTATAACTCTGGCCTTTGGATGGTGCGCAGCATTTGAAGATTCTCATTATCTGCTGATCAAATGAATAGACAGAACTATAGAACTGAAACCTAGACACAGCACTTCTCCTGCAAGGAGTTGTTTAGCACTCAGTGTCATAAGAGCATTCAAGTTGTAGGTCTTACATGTGGTATGACTGATAAGTAATAGTCTTGCTTTCCTGTAGGTACTTCTTTACTATCTAATGTGTCTGAGGCTCTTCTTTTAGCTTTTGGGGTTATTCCAACATTTGGGCACTTTCCCTATGACATCTTTTCCCACCTTTTCCCAGGTTTTACTACCTGAATTATACTGCAATGAATTTCAGCCATTTGATCACCCCAGTGGCCATAAGTTCATAGCCCCATGTTTGACCTTGAGATTTGAAAGTTGTTCTTTCTGGTATGTTAAATTCCCTTCATCAAAAAAGTTTACCCAGAGTCTAACTTCACAGTCTAATATGAATTCCAGATTTCAAATAACCTTTAATTTTTTGGGGGATGAATTACAAATAGTTCACCAAAGTTAATTTCTTTTTCTGGAATGGTCTATTTATCTGTATCTGTGTGTATATAAATGAAAGATACATATTGTTTTGTGTTTCCTTATGAATTCTACAGATATTAATCTATGTAGAGACAGAATGTTCTCAAAAGAGACAATCACGTTTTTGTGAGTGCATGAAGTTGTTTAGGTACAGCTCTGCTAGAGAAGGTAGAACCAACACAGTTTTAACAAAAACAAAAGAGAATCTATTGCTTTGTGTTTTCAGATGTGGTACAGTCATGAACTGTGTAATGACATTTCAGTCAACTACGGACCACATATATGACTGTAGTCCCATAAGATTATGGTACTGTATTTTTACCGTACCTTTTCTGCATTTAGATATATTTAGATAAACAAATACTTATCATTGTGTTACAGTTGCCTATAGTATTCAGTACAGTAACATGCTGTGCATGTTTGTAGCCTAGGAGTAATAGGCTATGCCATACAGCCTAGGAGTGTAGTAGGCTATACCGTATAGGTTTGTGTAAGTACACTCTATGGTGTTTGTACAAGAATGATATCTCCTAAGGCTGCATTTCTCAGAACATATCCCTGTTGTGAAGTGACACATAACTATAATTATGAACTAATATTAATGCATGAAAATTGGGCTCAAGTTATTCCAAACTAAAATATTTAGGGAAAATGTATATCCAAGGTGTGCTGATAGCATTAGTGATTATTCTCAGGTTGAGAACACATATATACTGTTTACAAATAAACTAAAGCATAGTTTGTTCACCAGTCTTCTTGATTAATGGGCCTTAGAGTTCTCAAACATAAATCTTAATCTTTCAAGGTAGCATGGGGGATATGTTTGGTTTGTCAGTGAGGATGGCATAGAACATCCCCAAAGGAGAGAATGCTCCCTCTCTGGATAGTTTATCAATAGTTTATAGTCTGTGAATACTCAATACTGTTAATGAGTCAAAAGACTGTGGTTGTTGATTATTCTGGCTTTACAGGGAATCAGTAGGCTATAAAACAATATTATAAAGTGTTTTTTGTTCCTCAGAAGAGAGACACTTTGCAACAATAAAATAAATATATCTTTAATAGTTTAAATTCCTTTGGAACACTAGAAGTTTACTCTATCCAGAGTACCTTGCATATAATAGATCCTGTATAATTATAAGGAAGGGAGGACTCTGCACACCCAGGTATAAAGTGTGAACCCCAAATATCTGAGACAGATCTCAGTCAATTTTGGAAGTTAATGTTGCCAAAGCTAAGGACGTACACCTGTGACATAGCCTCAGCAGGTCCTGATGACATATGCCCAAGGTGGTCAGAGCACAGCTTGGTTTTATACATTTTAGGGAGACATGAGTCATCAATCAATACTTGGACAACTTGGAAGTGGGGAGGGGGCGTCCAGGTCATAGGTAGATAAGAGACAAATGTTGCGTTCTTCTGAGTTTCTGATCACCCTTTCCAAAGGAGGCCATCAACTATGTACTTTTCTCAGTGAGCAGAGGGATGATTTTGAATAAAATGGGAGGCAGGTGTGCCCTAAGCAGTTCCCAACCTAACTTTTCCTCTTAGCTTAGTGACTTTGGGGCCCCAAGATTCATTTTCTTTCACAAAGGCAAATATCTAAGGTTAAAAGATTAAAATCTCAGGTATTCAAATGACTTTTCAATAGCCTATATTAAACTTGTCTTATTTGCCTATGCCCACTGCAAAGGTATAAATACCCTATAACTTCTGTAATTGTTCATTACCATCAGGTCACTGCCAACTGGTCTCCCTGTCTCCAGGCTTAGCCCATTCCAACATATTCTCTACTTTGCAGCTGAAATGTTATTTCTAAAATGTAAATGTAATCCTATATCTTCTCTCTTTCAAATCCTTCAGTGGCCTTCTGTTGCTCTTAGATAGAGGGAATCTCTACCAGGCTAACAAGGTCTAACGTAATCACCCACTTAACCTCTTCAAACACATCTCTACCCATGCCTCCTCCAACTCTTAGATTAAGCTACACCTCTTCTTGGCCTTCTATTTACTTAGCCTGTAACTCTCCCCATCCCCCACACTGACCCTCAGAAAGGGTAATCCTTCAGGTCTTAATTTAGATCTCATTTCCTCCTCTCCCATACCCTGTTCTTACTATTCTTACTTATTCTCCCAATTCTGCATCATAAAAGACCTAGAAACTGTGATGGCAAAGCACAGACACTCTTTGATCTTTCTGGGCGTGCTGGGAAGTGGAGAGGCAGTGAGGGCACGTGGAAGGAACAGTCCTGCATCAGTAAGTTTTATCTCCAGCACATAAATGACTGAGATGTCTGTTCCAGTTAAGAACAAAGCTGGTTGCTTCTCTTCCTCAAGACCTTGTGTAGCCTCATGGTTCCTGCTGTGGGTAAGAAGCTGGATTATAATGGTATGCCAGATTCTCTGGGTCTAAGGATCTGGCCTTTTTTCCTGGGTAAGTGATCTGTCTCTCGGCTTGATTATCATGTTTCTCCCATGTTTCAAAATGTCTGATCCCAGTTAACTCTAAGAATTGGTGAGAAATATTATTGTTTAAGACACTACTTAATCTAGTATGTTTTGAATTTACTTGGTTCCCAAGGCACTACCATCAGAGGTGTGCTGGTATATGTGTAACAATTAGCCCTCTGGGGAAGAAGGGGAAGCCCTTATTTGCAGTATTTGCTTGTTTCTGTGGTGTAAATGGTCAATTTCAAGCTACTGATGCAGGACTTTTTGCTCCTTAGCTCAGCCAACTCTGGGTTCTTGTCTCATGACAGGAAAAAGTAGGCATGCAGACACTCAAAGAGTGAGCAAGGCAGGGAGTGATATTGAGTGATGAAAAAGCTTTTAGTGGGGAGGGGATGCAGGGATGGTCTCCCTACTTGAAGGCAGGAAAGTTCTCAATATTGTTGTGCCAGGGCCTTTTATGGGCTCAGAATAGGGAGTATGTGCTGATTGGTTTGTGAGTATGCAAAAAAGGTCAAAGCAAAGACAGCACTCAAAGGTGGGCACAATAGTGTAGAAAACCAACTAGGGAAGGGCAAGTATATGTAAAATAGTTGAAGAATGGGGATCAATCAGGGGAAAGTATGCCAAATGGGAAGGTGGGTTCTTGATCTGGTCCAAGGATTTAACTTGTAGCTTTGCTTTCAGGCTTTAAACTGTCTTCAGCTTGTAGGTGGGGTTCTGCTGGGGACCTGCCCCTATCTGCCTAGGCATTTGGCTGCCTCCTGTCACTATCACTACCAACATGTAATAGCTCACCAAAATGTTGTATTTCAACTGGGCAGATAAAACAGATGCTAATAACCTCAAGAGGTAAATAATAGTAAAGTAGTAAAATAATATAGTAAAAAAAGTAGCAAAATAATTAGGCAGTGATGAATTTGAGTAATTTATATCTTTATTTTAAAGTAATTTAATTATATTTTACTTTGCGTAATGGCTTGCAAAATTTCTAAAAATTTAACAATTCTCATAAAATGGTATGAGCCACCTCTAGTATATCACTGAATACTATTTTCTCTTCTTAGCATAAAGTCTGTTCACATTAAAATTAAGGAAACATGGAACTCACCCTCCTAAATATGTATTTAGGAAATTAACTTGTGTGTAAAGGTAGAGTTGTCAGTTAGGTATTGAAACAATTGCATAAAAGCAAAAAAAAAAATTATGAGATGTTACACTGATCTTTTCTCATTATTGGTCTATTTTTATTTGTTTCAGTATGTTTTTCTTCCACATAAAAAGAAAACAGACCAACTTAATAATATATGCACGCTTATATCTCATGGGTTACAGTGTTGCTCAACTGTGGTCTGCTGACTCATAGCATTCTCATCACCTAGTATCTTGTTGGAAATAGAGAATGTCAGGTATGATCCAGACGTCCTGAAGCAGAATCTGCATTTTGACAAGATCCCTAGCTGGTCTAAATGCACAGTAAATTTTGAGAAGCACTGATGCACTGAGTAAAGGCTTGATGTCAGATAAGACTGGCTCTAGAATAATAGTTTCCAATAGAACTTTCTGCAATAATATTAATAGTAATGTTTCATATATATGTCACTGAAAACATTGGCCATTAATCACATTTGGCTATTGAGCACACGCAATGTGGTTAGTGCCTGAGGAAGGTCCCCTTGAGTATTAAGCAGAGTACTGATTGGCGCATGTGTATGAGAAAATTATCCGGACTGGACAAAGAACCATCCAAGAAGATTAAAGAGAATAGTATTCAGCTCTACTACAGAGCAAGGGGTAGTGCCTGCTCTATAATCCAACCTGGAAAATGTTATAATTCATGGGATATTTAGTAGAGGACTCAAAAAGTTCTTGCCTCAGTAGTCAGAAATAATATAGACTGAGTGTACCTCTGGTCTCACCTAACATTTTAAAAGCAAGACTAAAAATTATTTTCAAGTAAGATAGAAACATCCTAGAACAAAGTTCAAGAATACCTATGGGAATATAAAAATATCCAACACCTAAGCAGATACTTTTTTTTTATTTAATAAAGTTTTATTTTTCCAAATGTACAGTTGGTTGGACATATTCATGCATCTTCACCAGTAGCTGGAGCATCTCCACCCTTGGTATTTCTGGTGTAAATTACTTGAGCTCTGTGCTTTGAAACCAGTTTGATAAGTCCTTTACTAAGGAGCTCCTGAAGGGCTGCCCTGGCCAGGGAGCCTCGAATCTTCAGTCTTTCAGAGACCACAGCTGGGGTTATAAGTTTGTATTTGGGAACTTCCTTACAGAGTTTGTTATAGGTAGCTTTGTCAAACAAGACTAAGCTATTGAGTTTGTCCCAAACTTTGCCTCTGGACCACTTCTTCTTTCTGGACTTGCCCCTGGATTTGTTTACTGGGTCTTTGTCTTTCTTGGCCAATTTTCCAGAGTCTTTCTTCTTCTTGTCCTTGAGCAGTATTGCAAAGGTCAGAGAGCAGCAGCGAACACTGCAGCCTCGCTAAGATGTCGGACAAAAAGCAGCAGATAAAATTTGAAATGTCTGATATCCAATCAAAAATTTCTTGCAAAGAAGTAAGAAAGTGCCACCCATGATGAGGACCAAACAAACAAACAAACAAAACACAAAAGTTGATTAATCAAAATAAAATAGATGTTGGACACAAAATGACACAGATTTTAGAACTAACAGATAAAGACACTAAAAGTATTTTAAACATTTTGTATACATTCAAAAAGATAAGTAGATATGTGAAGATACAAAAAAGATCCAACCCAAACTTCTAGAGATGAAAACTGCAATGTCTGAAATGAAAAAGACCCTGGATAGGATTAGCAGTAGACTATAATTACATAAGAAAAGATGAATGAACTTGAACATATAGCAATGGAAAGTATTCAAAATTAATCAGAAATAATTTATTTTAAATGTAAAGAGCAGTGAGCTGTGAGACAATTTCAGTGGCCTAGTATATATGTAATTGAATTCCCTGAAATAGAGATGTAGGACAGAGGCAAATATTTAGAAAAAAATGGCCAAATATTTTCCAAATTTGATGAAAGCTATAAATCTACAGGTCCCAGAAGCTCAATGAACCCAAAGCTCAAGAAACATGAAGACAATGGCATTAAGGCACATAATAATCAAATTTCTCAAAACTAGTCATAGAAAATCTTAAAAGTAGCCAGATAAAAAAGATAAAGATGACATCAGATTTTTCATTGGAAACAATGAAAATAAGAAGACAGTGGGATAATTTTTCCAGTACAGAATGGAGAAAAAAACCTGCCACCTAGAATTTTATATCCAGCAAAAATATCTTTAAAAAATGAAGGCAAAATAAAAACCTTTTCAGATAGACAAAAACTTAAATAATTTATTACCAGCATTTCTTCACTACAAGAAATGTTAACGTTTTTATACTGGAAGGAAGTGACGCCAGGTAGAAATACAGATTTACACAAAGGAATAAAAAGCACTGTAAGTGGTAACTTTGTTAATAAATATATGAGAGTTTTAATTATTTTTAAAATCTCTTATAAAGATAATTGACTTTTTAAACAAAAATAACAACAGCGTATTGAGGGGTTTATAACATGCGTATAGGTAAAATGTGTGACAATCAGAAGAAGAAATACCAATTCCACATAATCTCTTTCAGAAGAATGTTCCTTACAGAAGAAGGAATATTTCCCAACTCATTTAATGAGGCCAACATTATTCTGATACCAAAACTATACAAAAGCATTACAAGGAAAGAGAACTACAGACCATTATTCCTGATGTACAGGTAAGCAAAACTTCTAAAATCTCTCATCAAGACTCCTATTCCTGTTTTATTGTCAGATTTCTTGCCAGCAGTAATATTAATTTCCTAGTTGGTTTCTATGCCTTCCCTCTCCTCATACCTACCCTTGACAAATTAATCTTCTTTAACATGATTTGATCATGCCATTGCTCTACAGAAAAGTCTGTAATTGCTCCTATTGCATGCTAAATAGATACAAAGCAGTAAAATTATTATAGAAGAGGCTGAGAAAATTTTTCCACTAGGAAGCTACTAGGTAGAGTGTCCAAGGTGATAGATTATTACTATGCACTTGTCCAATGTAGAAAATGTCATGAGGTGATCTTTGGCCCTTCTTATCTAAATTGTACTTTCTGACATCAAGCTCATCTGTAATAACATGGAATATTTATTGATCATGTGCTATGTGGTATTCATCATGTAAGCACTTTACATGCATTATCTCCTCTGTAAAATCAGGATGACAATAGTATCTGCATTACAGAATTCTTATGGGGATTAAAAAGTACATATAAAATGCTATACAGTGTTTAAAATATTAAGTGCTATAATAAGCTATCATTGCCTAAGTACTTAGCCATGATCGTTACTATTGTTTAATCCTTATTACTCATTTAAGAAAATTATTGCATTAACTCTTTTTTTTTTTTTTTTTTGAGGTGGAGTTTTGCTCTTGTTGCCCAGGCTGGAGTGCAATGGCATGATCTTGGCTCACTGGAACCTCTGCCTCCTGGGTTCAAGTGATTCTCCTGCCTCAGCCTCTCAAGTAGCTGGGATTACAGGCATGCGCCACCACACCCAACTAATTTTGTATTTTTAGTAGAGACTGGTATCTCCATGTTGGTCAGGCTGGTCTCGAACTCCTGACCTCAGGTGATCCACCTGCCTTGGCCTCCCAAAGCGCTGGGATTACAGGCATGAGCCACCTTGCCTAGCCTTTTTTTTTTGTTTTCTTTTGGTTTTTTTATTTTTATTTTTTTTGAGACGGAGTCTTGCTCTGTTGCCCAGGCTGGAGTGCAGTGGCATGATCTCAGCTCACTGCAACCTCTGCCTCCCAGGTTTAAGTGATTCTCCTGCCTCAGCCTTCTGAGTAGCTGGGATTACAGGTGTGCACCACCATGCCCAGCTAATTTTTGTATTTTAGTAAAGACCAGGTTTCACTATGTTGGCCAGGCTGGTTTCAAACTCCTGACCTCAAGTGATCCACCTGCCTCGGGTGTATTGGGATTACAGGCGTGAGCCACCATGCCTGGCCTTAACTCTTATTTATAGATGAGAACAGGCACAGAGAGGTTAAGTAACTTGCCCAAATCACATCACCAGTAAGTTGTAGAGCTCAGTCTTAAGTTGGATTCTGTTTGACCCCCAAGCTTATATTCTCAACCACATTTTGACCTGAGTCCAATAAAACATTATTGATATGATTTGGATTTGTGTCCCCACCCAAATCTCATGTTGAATTATATCCCTAATGTTGGAGGTATGGCCTGGTGGGAGGTGATTGGATCATGGGGGTGGTCCTTCATGAATGGTTTAGCACCATTCTCTTGGTGCTGTTCTCATGAGAGTGATTGAGTGAATTATCATGAGATCTGGTTGTTTAAAAGTCTGTAGTACCACCCCCACATGTTTCTTGCTCCTGTTCCTGCCATGTGAGATGTCTCACTCCCCCTTTCCCCTCCACCATGATTGTAAGTTTCTGGAGGTCTCCCCATAAGCTGAGCAGATGCCAGCATTATGCTTTCTGTACAGCCTGTGGAAATGTGAGCCAATTAAACCTCTTTTCTTTTCTTTTTTTTTTTTTTTTGAGATGGAGTCTTGCTCTGTCACCCAGGCTGGAGTGCAGTGGTGCAATCTCGGCTCACTGCAAGCTCCGGCTCCTGGGTTCACGCCATTCTCCTGCCTCAGCCTCCTGAGTAGCCGGGACTACAGGAGCCTGCCACCATGCCCATCTAATTTTTTGTATTTTTAGTAGAGACGGGGTTTCACCATGTTAGCCAGGATGGTCTCGATCTCCTGGCCTTGTGATCCACCCGCCTTGGCCTCCCAAAGTGCTATGATTACAGGCATGAGCAACCGCACCCAGCTAAACCTCTTTTCTTTATAAATTACCTGTCTCAGGTTTTTTTTATACCAATGCGAGAACTGACTAATGAAGAAAATAGGTACTGAGGAGTGGGGCTTTGCTATAAAGATACCTGAAAATGTGGAAGTGACTTTGGAACTGGGTAATGAGCAGAAGTTGGAAAAGTGTGGAGGGCTTAGAAGAAGACAGGAAGTTGAAGGAATGTTTGGAACTTCCTAGAGACTGGTTGAATGGTTATGACCAAAATGCTGGTAGCGATAAGGACAGTGAAGTTCAGGCTGATAAGGTCTCAGGTGGAAATGAGGAACTTATTGAGAATTGAAGTAAAGGTCACTTTTGTTATGCCTTAGCAAATAATTTGGCTGCTTTTTGCCCCTGCCCTAGGGATCTGTGGAACTTTGAACTTGAGAGTGATGATTTATGGTATCTGGTGGAAGAAATTTCTAAGCAGCAAAGTGTTCAAGAAGTGACATGGCTGCTTCTAACAGCCTACGCTTATATGTGTGAGCAAAAAATCAACCTAAGTTGGAACTTATGTTTAAAGGGGAAGTAAAGCAAAAGTTTGGAGAATTTGCAGCCTGGTAATGTGGTAAGAAAAGAAAAGCCCATTTTCAGGGGAAGAATTCAAGCAGGGCTTAGAAATTTGTGTAAGTAAAAAAGAGCCAATTGCTAATTGCCAAGACAATGGGGAAAAGGTCTGGAAGGCATTTCAGAGACCTTTGCAGCAGCCCCTCCTATCACAGACCCAGAGGCCTAGGAGGGGAGGATGGTTTTGTGGTCCAGGCCCATGACCCTGGTTACCCTGCATGGCCTCAGGACACTGGTCCCTGCATCGTAGCCACTCCAGCTTCAGCCATAGCTCAAAGGGCCCAGGTATGGTTTGGGCTGCTGCTTCAGGAGGTACAAACTGTAAGACTTGGGAACTTCCACATGATGTTAAACTTGTGAGGGCAAAACGTGCAAGAGTTGAGGCTTGGACACCTCTGCCTAGATTTCAGAGGATGTATGGAAAAGCCTGAATGTCCAGGCAGAAGCCTGTTGCAAGAGTGGAGCCCTCACAGAGAACCTCTACTAGGATAGTGTGGAGGGTAAACGTGGGGTTGGAGCACCCCCCAACAGAGTCCCCACTGGGACACTGCCTACTGGAGCTGTGAGAAGAGTGCCATCGTCCTCCAGACCCCAGAATGGAGGATCCACTGACAGCTTGCACCATGCACCTGGAAAAGCTGCAGGCATTCAGTGCCATCCCATGAAAGCAGCTGCAGGGGCTACACCCTAAAGATCCACAGGTGCAGAGCTGCCCAAGGCCTTGGGAGATCATCCCTTGCATAAGTATGCCCTAGATATGGGACATGGAGTGAAAGGAAATTATTTTGGAGCTTTAAGATTTAATGACTGCCCTGCTGGGTTTTGGACTTGCATGGGACTTGTAGCCCCTTTCTTTTGGTTGATTTCTCCCTTTTGGAATGGGAGTACCTACCCAATGCCTATACCCCCATTGTATGTTTAAAGTAACTAACTTGTTTTTGATTTTGTAGGCTCATATGTGGAAGAGAGTAGCCTTGTGTCAGATGAGACTTTGGACTTTTGAGTTAATGCAGAAAAGAGTTAAGACTTAGAGGGACTGTTGAGGAGGGATGATTGTATTTTGCAATGTGAGAAGAACATGAGATTTAGGGGGCCAGGAGTGGAATAATATGGTTTGGATCTGTGTCCCCATCAAATCTCATGTCAAATTCTAGTCCCCACTGTTGGAGGTGGGACCTTGGAGGTGGATTTCTCATGAGTGGTTTAGCACCATCCACTTGGTGTTGTTCTTGTGATAGTGAAGGAGTTCCCATGAGATCTGGTTGTTTAAAAGTGTGCAGCACCTTCCCCCTTGCTCTGTATTCTTTCTGCTCTGGCCATGTTATGTGTTTGTTTCCCCTTTGCCTTCTGACATGATTGGAAGCTTCCTGAGGTCTCCCAAGAAGCAGAAGCCACTATGCTTCCTGTACAGCCTGCAGAACCATGAGCCAATTAAACCTTCTTTCTTTATAAGTTACCCCGTCTCAGGTTTCTTTATAGCAGTGTAAGAATGAACTAATAGAATTATTTTTTTCTCCTTTGCTCTGCAATACTGAGTGAGCTCTTAAACAACTGTATCTGTCAAAGTGTTTCAATATAAATTGATCCTCAAAAAGAGTTTGTGGTTGATAAGAAAGATGGTCCTTCCCTGAACCATTCTTTAAAAATGTCAACACTCCCTAGGAAGCTGTTCACACGTCATTTCCCATTTTCCCCTGCACTAGTGCTGATATTATTTCTTAAATGCTGACAATATTTGAGAAGCTAATTTTAGACTTTCCCTCTGCTAGAAACTAGAAGTGTGAAACAATGAGTTGGTGATCCAAACCACTGTCTGGCCCTCTCCCCATTACTTTGCCAGTCATAGCTTTGCTCTGTGTCCTAAGTTTTATAAGTTTATTTTTAAGGTCCCCATGTAAAGTGATTTTTTTTTTTTTTTGCCCATTACAAAATAAGATGTTCTGTAATGTGCAACTCTTCTCTTGTTGCTCTCCCAACTCCAAGTCAGCACTTCATTGCCCTTGTTCTCATGTCATTTCTTAACCTCCAGGCACAGCTATCTCAACACTCCAGCCACCTCAGTCGCTCTCTATCATTTTCAAGACTAAGCTGAAGTTCATTATGCTTGGTTTATGTAACTCACATGTCATCTATTACCCATTGAGAGCTAAATAAGTTCATTCCACACACAGGGGAATCTTGGTTTCTATCTGAGATTTCTGGGTCTCTGTAGGGAGCACCTTTTGCATTAGCACCCCCACTTCTGGGCTCAGGTTTTAGTGGGTTGTGACTCTGCAGCAACTGAGATATGTAATTCTGTTCCTTTTTAAGTTCTACAAACATCACAGAATCCCCTAGAACATGCCCGTAAAATCCACCAACACAGAGCTAATTTTGAAAGGGTTTATGTTGTGACAATGCAAAAGATGTCAGGTTGAGCTTTAGGCATCCCTTTTTTGAAATGCTTTTTGGCTGCTTCAACAACAAACATTTTTACTGGCTCTTCATCTTACATGGTCTAAATTGCACATCAGATTTTTGATTCTGTTCTTCCCCTCCCTTTTCAGGAGCTAAAACAAATGTCTTTCTTTGTTTTAGGAAGATCACTTTAGCCACCTCCTAAAATGTTTACCTTGATCCCTGCTGACTTTGATACCTCATGTTCTATCACCACGCAGCATTCCAAGTGTTGCCTCAAAAATTATAGTAACCTACCTAAGAGGAATTCTGATATTAGCTGTTAAGATAATACATTTTTAAATTTCCATTACATCACAAGGCCCTTGTGACCTAAATTTTGCTTATCCTTCTAGCCTCACCTCTCTACTACTCCTGTGCCTCTTCTGCTACCAGCATACCGTGTTCTTTCTCATTATCATATCTTAAAAACATACCATTATTTCCTATGCCTGGAAGCCTCTCCCATCCTCCAATAGAAAAATATATATTTTTAAAGGAAAAATATTGTATCTTATACAAATATAAACACAGGTCAAATACTTTATTTAACTCATTTATTAATGAGGGAACTAGTAAGATGCTACAAAAACCAAAACGGATTCACAGGAGAATCAAGTACAGACACGTATTTGGCCACATGAGCTGTCAGGAATACATAAATGAATTTGCTTCAAAAATGTAAAACTGGCTTCTTCAACACCGGGGAGGAAAATCAACTGAAACACTGTGAAAAATAATTCATTTGCAGTCTATGGATAAGAATAATTTGCATCGCTATCAGTCATCTATAAGTTACAGAGTTGTAAATAGTTCAAAGGCCATGAAAGGCACAAAGACCCCATAGAATCAGATATCTTGGAAATATGTGCTAGCCACTGCCTATTTTCCTTTCTTTTTTTTTTAAAAAAGTATTGTGGGCACATAATAAATATATATGTTTATAGGGTACATGAGATATTTTACACACAGGCATACAGTGTGTAATAATCATATCAGGGTAAATGGGGTATCCATCACCTCAAGCATTTATCCTTTCTTTGTGTTACAATCCAATTGTACTTTTAGGTATTTAAAAATGTACAATAAATTATTATTGACTGTAGTCACTCTCTTGTGCTATCAAATACTAGATCTTATTCATTCTAATAATATATTTATATATCTATGTAATTATATTGACCACCCCCACCCCAGCTACCCTTTTTCATGCTCTGATAACCATCATTCTACTATCTATCTTCATGAATTCAATTGTTTCAATGTTCAGCTCCCACAAATAACTGAGAACATGTGAAGTTTGTTTTTCTGTGCCTAACATAGTTCACTTAACATAATAACCTTCAATTCTGTCCCTGTTGTTGCAAATTATAGGATCTCATTATTTTTTATGGCTGAATAGTACATTGTGTATATATACCACGTTTTGTTTATCCATTTGTCTGTTATGGCCACTTAGGTAATACTGCTGCAATAAACATGAAAGTGCAGATATCTCTTTGATATACTGATTTCCTTTTTTTTTTGATATATATACCAGTAGTGGCATTGCTGGATCATATGGTAGCTCTATTTCTAGTTTTTTGAGGAATCTCCAAACTGTTCTTCATAGTGGATGTACTAATTTACATTCCCACCAATAATGTACAAGGGTTCCCTTTTCTCCACATCTTTGCCAGCATTTGTTATTGCCTGTCTTTTAGATAAAAGCCATTTTAACTGGGGTAAGGTGATAGCTAATTGTAATTTTGATTTGTACTTCTCTGATGATCAGTGATGTTGAGCACCTTTTTCAAATATCTGTTTGCCATTTGTGTGTCTTCTTTTTAGAAATGTCTATTCAGATTTTTTGTCCATTTTAAAATCAGATTATTAGATTTTTCCCTGTAGAGTTTTTTGAGTTCCTTATATATTATGGTTATTAATCTCTTGTCATGTTGATAGTTTGCAAATATTTTCTCCCACTCTGTGGGTTGTCTCTTCAATTTATTGATTATTTCCTTTACTGTGCAGAAGGTTTTTTTTGACCATTTTTTGCTTTGAAAGGTTGCCTGTGCATCAGTTCTCTAATGGTGAGTGA
Source organism: Homo sapiens (assembly GCF_000001405.40). Taxonomy (NCBI): domain Eukaryota; kingdom Metazoa; phylum Chordata; class Mammalia; order Primates; family Hominidae; genus Homo; species Homo sapiens. The sequence goes on along the minus strand of NC_000001.11, from coordinate 211,164,938 downwards.
TGTTGAGCTTTTTTTCATGATTGTTGGCCACTTGTATGCCTTCTTTTGAAAAGTGTCTGTTCATGTCCTTTGTCTACTTTTTAATGGGGTTGTTTCTCTTTCTTGTAAATTTGTTTGTGTTCCTTATAGATGCTGGATATTAGACTTTTGTCAGATGCATAGTTTGCAAAAATTTTCTCCCATTCTGTAGGTTTTTTGTTTACTCTGTTGATAGTTTCCTTTGCTGTGCAGCTCTTTAGTTTAATTAGATCCCATTTGTCAATTTTTTTGTTGTGATTATTTTTGGCATATCAGATGACATGATTCTCTATATAGAAAACCCCATAGTCTCAGTCCAAAAGCTCCTTAAGCTGATGAACAACTTTAGCAAAGTATTATGATACAAAATCAATGTGCAAAAATCACTAACATTCCTATGCATCAACAACAATAGTCAAGCTGAGAGCCAAATCGGGAATGCAATCCCATTCACAATTCCCACACAAAGAATAAAATACCTAGGCATACAGCTAACCAGGGAGTTGAAAGATCTCTACAAGGAGAACTACAAAACACTGCTCAAAGAAATCAGAGATGACACAAGCAAATGGAAAAACATTCTATGCTCATGGATAGGAAGAATCAATATTGTTAAAATGGCCATGCTGCCCAAAGCGATTTGTAGATTCAATGCTATTCCCACTAAACTACCATTGACATTCTTCAAATAACTAGAAAAAACTATTTTAAAACTCCTGGAGCCAAAAAAAAGAAAGAGCCTGAATAGCCAAGGCAATCTACACAAAAGAACAAAGCAGGAGGCATCATACTACCTGACTTCAAACTATACTATGGGGCTACAGTAACCGAAACAGCATAGTACTGGCACAAAAACAGACATATGGACCAGTGGAACAGAATAGAGAACCTAGAAATAAGGCTGCACATCTACAACTATCTGATCTTTGAAAAACCTTATAAAAACTAGCAATTGGGAAAAGATTCCCTATTCAATATACAGTGCTGGGATAACTGGCTAGCCAAAAGCAGAAGATTGAAACCCCCTTCCTGACACCATGTACAAAATTAACTTAATTTGGATTAAAGATTTAAAGTAAAACCAAAAACTATAAAACTATAAAAACCCTGGAAGACAACCAAGGCAATACCATTCTGGATATAGGTATTAGTTCTTCTTTAACGGTTTGGTAAAATTCAGCAGTGAAGCCGATAGGTTGCAGACTTTTCTTTGGTGGGAGACTTTATTATAGCTTCAGTCTTCTTATTAGTTTGCTCAGGTTTTGGATTTCTTCCTGGTTCAATCTTGGTAGGTTGTATATGTCTAGGAATTTATCTATTTCTTTTAGATTTTCCATTTTATTGGCATATAGTTGCTGATATGCCAATAAAGTAGCCTCTAATGATTTTTTGAATTTCTGAAGAATCAGTTTTAATGTCTCCTTTTCATATCTGATTTTATTTATTTGGGTCTTCTCTCTTTTGTTCTTAGTCTGGCTAAAGGTTTGTAATTTTTATTTATCTTTTCAATAAACCAACTTTTTGTTTCATTAATCTCTTGTATTGTTTTTTTCATGTCAATTTCATTTATTTCTGCTCTGATTGTTATTATTTCTTTTTTTCTCCTTTGGTTTGGTGTGCTCTTGCTTTCCTAGTTCTTCAAGATGGATCATTAGGAGGAGGGTGGACAAAATGGCTGACTAGAGGCAGCTAGTGTGCATGGCTCTCATGGAGAGGAATGGAAGAGGCCAGTAAATTCAGCACCTTCAACTGAAACATCCAGGTACTCTCAGTGGGACTAACCAAGGAAACAACTTGACCCATGGAGAATGAAGAAAAGCAAGGCAGGATGATGGCACACCCAGGAGCGACATGGAGCCAGGGGAGCCTCCCCAACCCAGGGAATGTGCAATCATGGGAACCCATGATTCTCCCATGGATCTTTGCAACCCTCAGGTCAGGAGATCCCCTCATGAACCCACTCCATTAGGGCCTTCAGTCTGACAGATAGAGCTATGTGGAGTCTCAGCTCACATAGCTGCTCAGGGATGTGTGGAGACCCAGGAGCTTTAGATACTTGGGCTTTCCTGGCCTCCCAGCAAAAGTAGCTGCAACTCTGGCAAAGCAGGAGATGAGACAAATGTACATACCCGTAGGAAAGAAGCTGAATCCAGGGGGCTGAGCAGTGACAGTCTACAGGCCCCACTTTCATGGCACCTCACAGGATAAGACCCACTGGCTTGGAATTCCAGCCAGCCGCCAGCAGCACTGCACCTCCCTGAGACAGAGCTCACAGCGGGAGGGGAAGGCTGCCATCTTTGCTGTTTGGGTGACTTAGCCATTTCAGCCTTTGGGCTTTGGAGAGTCCCAGCCAACTGGAGGTGGAGGCAATACCCCAACACAGCACAGCTGCTTTATGAAAGCATGGCCAGACTGCTTTTTTAAAGCGGGTCTCTGATCCTGTTCCTCCTGTTTGGCTGTGATCCCCAAGTGGGGCCTCCAGCTACCCCCACCAGTGTTCTGTGGCAGACAGAGTTTTGAAACCTCCCTGGGACAGAGCTCCCAGAAGGAGGGGTGAGCCATCATCTCTGCTGTTTGAGCGACTTAGCCATTCCGGCCTTCGGGCTTTGGAGAGTCTGCGCTGACCAGGGTGGAAGGGATCCTCCAGCATAACACAGCTGCTCTATGAAAATGTGACCAGGCTGCTTTTTAAGGCATGGCCTTTTCCATTCCTCCTCATTGGGCAGGACCTCCCAACTGGTGTCTCCAGCCACCCTAGACAGTATTCTCTGGCCAACAGATACTTGAAACTTCCCTGGGATGGACATCCCAGAGGAAGGGGTGGGCTGCCACCTTTGCTGTTTGGGCAACTTAGTGGTTCCAGCCTTCCAGCTTTGGAAAGCCCAAGCCGATCAGGGGTGGAAGTGGTACCCCAGCACAGCACAGCTGCTCTGCAAAAGCATTGCCAGACTGCTTTTTAAAGTGGGTCCTTGATCCCATTCCTCATCACCAGGTGGGGCCTCCCAACTGGGGTCTCCAGCTACCCTCACCAGTGTTTTCTGCCTGACAGAGGTTTCAAACCTCCCTGTGTTGGAGCTCCCAAGGGGAGGAGCAGGCCACCATCTTTGCTGTTTGGGTGACTTAGCCATTCCAGCCTTCAGGTTTTGGGGTGTCCATGGCAATGGAGAGCTTAGGTGGATCCCCAGCACAGCACCGCTGCGTTATGAAAACATGGCCAGACTGTATTTTTAAGCAGCTCCCTGATCCCATGCCTTCTCAATGGGCAGGACCTTCCAACCAGGGTCTCCAGCCACCTCCTTCAGATGCTTTCCGGTTGGCAACAGGTCTGTACCTCCCTCGGACAGAGCTCCCAGAGGAGAGGGCAGGCTGCCATCTTTGCTGCTTTGCATCCTTTGCTGGTGATACCTCCTGGTACTAGAAAATCTGAGGTGACTAGGGACTGGAGCAGGCCTCCAGCATACTGAAGAAGCCCTAAGGAAAAGTGGCCAGACTGTTACATGGGTGCCCACTTCCGTCTCTCCTCACCAGGCAGGTCCTCCACACCTGGCCTCCAGCCAGCCCTGCGTCAGAGCTATTGAGCCAGTAGCAACTCGGCAACTCCCTGAACAGAGTCTCCAGGGGCAACTGAAAGCCTCTCTGCCACTGCCTCTGTAGTAAAACTGCCCTTGTTACCTTCAGACAAACAAGGAGCAAAGGCCTAAGTACCTTATCCACACTTCCTACAAGCTGCAGTTGACCCAAGGAGAGGATGCCAGTCTGTCTCCCACTGGTCTCACACACCTTCCACTGCTTATCACCAGACAGGGAACCCCTGGCTTGGGCCCACAGCACAGACCCTCCATTCTGGGCTGATTGCACTGAGTAATTGCCGACCTGCACCTCTCTGGGTGGAGCCCCCAGGGAACAAGCAAAAGACCCTTGGCCACAACCACTGCTAAGGCCTATTCCTCTGCTGCCTCCAAGCTGGGGAAGAAACAAACACTGATATCGCCCCAGAGATGCAGTGGGCAGCCCAGGAGTGCCAAGCAGTGATCAACAACCAACACTCAAGGGGGAGAGGAAACCACACTTTCAAAGCATTGAGAGGGAACATGGCTGCAATTGTTAGGAAATGGGAGCCACAGAACCGAGCAAGAGTCTACCAATTGATCAATAAGCCTAAATGCTACCTACTGGATCACACCCCAAAGCTTCAACTCCAAAAATACCTTGTAGGCCAGGTGTGATGGCTCATGCCTGGCTGAAATGAGAGAAATATAATTCAGAATATGGTTAGGAAAATAATCATTGAGATTCAGGAGGACAGCAAAACCTAATCCAAAGAAACTAAGAATCCCAATTGAAGCAAAACAGGAACTAAAGGACAAAATAGCCAGTATAAAAAATAACCTAACAGGTCTGACAAAACTGAATAACACAATACAAAAATTTCACAATACAATTACAAATACTAACAGCAGAATAAACCAAGCTGAGGAAAGAATTGCAGAACTTAAAGACAGGTTCTCTGAAATAATGCAGACAAAAGTAGAAAAAAAAAAGGGTAAAAAGGAACAAACAGGCCATGTGTGGTGGCTCATGCCTGTAATCCCAGCATTTTGGGATGCTGAGGCAGGTGGATCACCTGAGGTCAGGAGTTTGAGACCAGCCTAGGTAACATAGTGAAACCCATCTCTACTAAAAATACAAATATTAGCTGGGCATGGTGGTGGGCACCTGTACTCCCAGCTACTCAGGAGGCTGAGGCAGGAGAATTGCTTGAACCCGGAAGGCAGAGGTTGCAGTGACCAAGATTGTGCCATTGCACTCCAGCTTGGGTGACAAGAGCGAAACTCCGTTTCAAAAAAAAAAAAAAAGAACAAACAAAACCTCTAAGAAGTATGGAATTATGTAAAGAGGTCAAATCTACCAATCACTGGCATTTTTGAAAGAGAAGAGGAGAAAGCAAACAACTACAAAAACATATTTCAGGATATCATCCATGAAAACTTCCCTGACTTTGCTAGAGAGGTGAATGCAAAATTCAGGAAATACAGAGAACTCCTACAAAGTTCAACACAAGAAGATCACCCACAGGCTGGGCCTGGTAGCTCACATCTGTAATCCCAGCTCTTTGGGAGGCTGAGGTGGGTGGATCACCTGAAGTCAGGAGTTCGAGACCAGCCTGACCAACATGGTGAAACCCCATCTCTACTAAAAATACAGAAAAACAAAAAACAAAACAAAAAAAACCTAGCCAGGCATGATGGCACACACCTGTAGTCCTAGCTACTTGGGAGGCTGAGGCAGGAGAATTGCTTGAACCCAGGAGGTGAAGTTGCAGTGAGCCGAGATCACATAATTGCACTCTAGCCTGGGCAACTAGAGCAAAACTCTATCTAAAAAAAAAAAAAAGAAAAAAAAAAAAAGAAGATCACCCACAAGACACATAATCATCAGATTTTCCAAGGTCACAATGAAAGAAAGAATGTTAAAGGCAGCTAGAGATAAGGGGCAGATTACCTACAAAGGGACCCCATCAGGCTAACAGAAGACCTCTCAGCTGAAACCCTACAAGTCAGAAGAGATTGGGGGCCTATATTCAATATTCTTAAATAAAAAATCTTCAGCCAAGAATTTCATACCCAGCCAAACCTAAACTTCCTAAGTGAAGAAGAAATAAGATCCTTTTCATATAAGCAAATGTTGAGGGAGTTTGTTACCACTATACCTACCCTACAAGAGATCTTGAAAGGAGCACTAGATATAGAAAGGAAAAACCACTACCAGATAACACAAAAACACACTTAAACACACAGGTCAGTGTCACTATAAAGCAAACACACAAACAAGCCAACATAATAACCAGCAAACAACACAATGACAGGATCAAATCCACACATACCAATATTAATCTCGAATGCAATAAAGATAAATGCCCCATTTAAAAGGCATAGAGTGGCAACCTGGATAAAAAAGCAAGCTCCATCCAGGTGTGGTGATGCCAAAGTAGCTGAAAAAAGAATAAAAGACAAACAAACAAAGCAATACCCAATGGTATGCTGTCTTCAAGACACCCATCTCACATGTAATGACACACACATGGGCTCAAAATAAAAAGATGGAGAAAAATCTAGCAAGAAAATGGAAAACAGAGAAAGCAGGAGTTGCAATCTTAGTTTCTGACAAAACAGACTTCAAACCAATAAAGATAAAAAAGACAAAGAAGGATATTACATAATGGTAAAGGGTTCAATTCAACAAGAAGACCTAACTATTCTAAATATACATGCACCCAACACAGGAGAACCCAGATTCATAAAGCAAGTTCTTAAGAGACCTACAAAGAGACATAGACTCCCAAAGAATAATGATAGTGGCTTCAACACTCTGGTGACGTTATTAGACAGATCATCCAGGCAGAAGATTAACAAAGGTATTCAGGACCTGAACTCAACATTGGATGAAATGGATGTGATAGATCCTTACAAAACTCTCCACCCCAAAACAACAGAATATACATTCTTCTCATTGCCTGACACATGACACATACTCTAAAATCAATCACATAATTGGACATAAAATAATTCTTAGCAAATGCAAAAGGACCAAAATCATACCAAACACACTTTTGGACCACAATGCAATAATAATAAAAGTCAAGGCCAAGAAAATTGCTCAAAACCATGCAATTACATGGAAATTAAACAACATGCTCCCGAATGACTTTTGGGTAAATGATGAAATTAAGGCAGAAATCAAGAAGTTCTTTGAAAATAATGACAACAAAGATACAACATACCAAAATCTCTGGGACACAGCTAAGGCAGTGTTAAGAGGGAAATTCATAGCACTAAAATGCCTACATCAAACAGTTAGAAAAATCTCAATTTAACAACCTAACATCACAACTGAGATAATTAGAGAAGCAAGAACAAATCAACCCCAAAGCTAGAAGACAACAAGAAATTATAAAAATCAGAGCTAAACTGAAGGAAATTATGACAAAAAACCATTCAAAAGATCAACGAATCCAGAAGTTGGTTTTTTGAAAAAATTATTAAGATAGATAGGCTGCCAGCTAGACTCATCAAGAAGAAAAGAGAGAAGATCCAAATAAACACAATTAAAAATGACAAAGGGAGTGTTACAACTGATGCCACAGAAATAAAAATAACCGTTGGAAACTACTACAAACACCTCTATGCACACAAACTAGAAAACCTAGAAGAGACGCAAAAATTCCTGGACAAATACATTCATCCAAGACTGAACCAGGAAGAAATTTAGTCCCTGAACAGACCAATAATGAGCTCTGAAATTGATTCAGTAATAAATAGCCTACCAACCATAAAAAGCCCAGGACCTAATGGATTCACAGCTGAATTCTACCATATGTACAAAGAAGAGCTGGTACATTTCTACAGAAACTATTCCAAAATTTGAGAAGGAGGGAATCCTCCCTAGTTCTTTTGTTTTTTCAGACAGAGTCTTGCTCTGTCACCCAGGCTGGAGTTCAGTGGTGTGATCTCAGCTCACTGCAACCTCTGCCTCCCAAGTTCAAGCAATTCTCATGCCTCAGCTTCCCGAGTAGCTGGGATTACAGGTGCACACCACCACACCCAGCTAATTTTTGTATTTTTAGTAGAGATGGGGTTTTGCCGTGTTGGCCAGGCTGTTCTTGAACTCCTAACCTCAAGCAATTCACCTGCCTCAGCCCCTTAAAATGATGGGATTGCAGATGTGAGCCACTGTGCCCATCCCCTAACTCATTTTATGAGGTCAGCATCACTTTGAAACAAAAACCTGGCAGAGACACAACAATAAAAGAAAACTTCAGGCCAATATCCTTGATGAACATCAATGCAAAAATCTTCAACAAAATACTGGAAAACCAAATTCAGCAGCACATCAAAAACTAATACACCATGATCAGGTAGGCTTCATCCTAAGGATGCAAGGTTGGTTCATTATATGAAAATTAATAAATGTGATTCATCACATAAACAGAACTGAAGACAAAAACCACATGATTATCTCAATAGATGCAGAAAAGACTTCTGATAAAATTAAACACTCTTCATATTATAAACTCTTAATAAACTAGGTATTGAAGGAACATACTTCAAAATAATAAGAGCCGTCTATGACAAACGCACAGCCAACATCATACCAAATGAGCAAAAGCTGGAAGCATTCCCCTTGAAAATCAACACAAGACAAAGATGCTCTCTCTCACCACTCCTATTCAACATTTCCCAGTATTGGAAATCCTAGACAGAGCAATCATTCCAGAGAAAGAAATAAAGAGCATCCAAATAGGAAGAGAGAAAGTAAAACTATCTTTGTTTGCAGATGACATAATTCTATATCTAGAAAACCCCATAGTCTCAGCCCAAAAGCTTCTTCAGCTGATAAACAACTTCATCAAAGTTTCAGGATACAAAATCAATGTACAAAAATCACTAGCATTCCTATACACCAAAAACAGCCAAACTGAGAGCCAAATCAGAATGGCAATCTAATTCACAACTGCCACAAAAAGAATAAAATAGCTAGGAATACAGTTAACTAGGGAAGTGAAAGGTCTGTACAATGAGAATTACAAAACACTGCTCAAAGAAATCAGAGAAAACACAAACAAATGGAAAAATGTTCCATACTCCTGGATAGGAAGAATCAATATCATTAAAATGGTCACACTGCCCAAAGCAATGTACAGATTCAATGTGACGCCTATCAAACTACCAAGGACATTATTCACAGAACTAGAAAAAACTATTTTAAATTTCATATGGAACCAAAAAAGAGCCTGAATAGCCAAGGCAATCCTAAGTAAAAAGAACAAAATTGGAGGCATCACATTAGCAAACTTCAAACTATGTTACAGAGCTGCAGTAACCAAAACGGCGTAGTACTGGTACAAAAACAGACAGCTAGGCCAATGGAACAGAATAGAGAACTCAGAAACAAGGCTGCACACCTGCGACTATCTGATCTTTGACAAAAACAAGTAATGGGGAAAAGACTCCCTATTCAATAAACAGTGCTGGGATAACTGGCTAGCCATATGCAGAAGATTGAACCTGGACCCCTTCTTTTTTTTTTTTTTTTTTTTTTTTTGAGACAGAGTCTTGCTCTGTTGCCCAGGCTGGAGTGCAGTGGCATCATCTTGGCTCACTGCAACCTCTGCTTCCTGGGTTCAAGCAGTTCTCTGCCTCAGCCGCCCAAGTAGCTGGGATTACAGATGCCTACCACGATGCCCAGCTGATTTTTGTATTTTTAGTAGAGACGGAGTTTCACCATCTTGGTCAGGCTGGTCTTGAACTCCTGACCTTGTGATCCACCCGCCTCAGCCTCCCAAAGTGCTGGGATTACAGGCATGAGTCACCGCACCTGGCCTGGACCCCTTCTTTATACCATATAACAAATCAACTCAAGATGGCTTAAAGACTTTAAAGTCCAAAACTATAAAAACCCTGGAACACAACCTAAGCAATACCATTCTAGACATAGGAACAGGCAAAGATTTCATGACAAAGACACCAAAAACAATAGCAACAAAAGCAAAAATTGACAAGTGGGATCTAAAAGCATAAGAAATTCTGCACAGCAAAATAAACCATCAACAGGTTGAACAGACAACCTACAGAATGGGAGAAAATATTTGCAAACTATACATCTGGAAGCCATTATCTGTAGCAAATGAATGCAGGAACAGGAAACCAAATACCACATGTTTTCACTTATAAGTGGGAGCTAAATGATGAGAACTTATGAATGTAAAGAAGGCAACAACAGACACTGGGGTATAACTGAGGGTAGAGAGCGGGAGGAGGGAGAGGACCAGAAAAGATAACTGTTGGGTACTGGGCTTAATACCTGCGTGATGAAATAATCTGTACAACAAACCTCCATGACACAAATTTACCTATGTAACAAAACTTCACATGTACCCCTGAACCTAAAATAAAAGTTAAAAATATTAGAAAAATTAAAATAGGCTGGGTGAGATGGCTCATGCCTGTAATCCTAGCACTTTGGGAGGCCAAGGTGAGTAGATCACCTGAGGTCAGGAGTTCAACACCAGTCTGGCCAACATGGTGAAACCCCATTTCTACTAAAAATACAGAAATTAGCTGGGTGTGGTGATGCATGCCTGTAATCCCAGTTACTTGGGAGGGTGAGGCACAAGAATCACTTAAACCTGGGAGGCAGAGGTTGCAGTGAGTCGAGATCGCACCACTGCAATCCAGTCTGGGTGATAGAGTGAGCCTCTGTCTCAAAAAAAAAAAAAAAAAAAAGAAAAAAGTAAATTTAAAAAGATGCATCATTTGGTTGTTTATTTGAAGTGTTTCTACTTTTTTGATGTAGACACATATAGCTATAAATATTTTCTTTTAGTACTGCTTTCACTGTATCCCATAGGTTTTGGTATATTGTGTTTCCATTATTTGTTTCAATAAATTTATCAATTTTCTTCTTAGTCTCTTCATTGTTATATTGGTCATTAAGGAGTGTATTGTTTGATTTCCATGTGTTTGTATAGTTTCCAAAATTTCTCTTGTTACTGACTTCTAGTTTTATTCCACTGTGGTCAGAGAAGATATTTGATATTATTTCAAGTTTTTGAATGTTTTAAGACTTGTTTTGTGGCCTATCATATGGTCTATCTTTGAGAATGATCCATGTGCTGAGGAGAACGTGTATTCTAGAGCCATTGGATGAAATGTTCTGTAAACATCTGTTAGGTGCATTTAGTCTATAGTGCAGATTAAGTCCAATGTCTTTGCTGATTTTCTGTCTGGAAGATCTGTCCAGTGCTGAAAGTGGGGTGTCAAAGTCTCCAGCTATTACTGTACTGGGGTCTAACTCTCTCTGTAAGCTATAATAATATTTGCTTTATATATCAGAGTGCTCCAGTGTTGGGTGTATGCAGATTTACCACTTACATCTTCTTGTTGAAATGACTCCTTTATTATTATATAATGACATTCTTTGTTTTTATAGTACTTGTCTTAAAACTTATTTTGTTTGATACAAATGTAGCTACTCCTGTTCTTTTTTGGTTTCCATTTGCTTGGAATATCTTTTTCAATTCTTTTATTTTCAGTTTATATGTGTCTTTATAGGTGAAGTGTGTTTCTTGTAAGTAACAGATCATTAGGTCTTATTTTCTAATCCATGCAGCCACTCTATGTTTTCTAACTGGAGAGTTCAATCCATTTACATTCAATATTATTATTGATAAGTAAGTACTTACTTCTGCCATTTTAGTTATTTATTTTCTTGTTGTTTTGTAGTCTTCTCCTCCTTTCCTTTTTTCCTGTCTTCCATTTGCTGATGGTGATTTTCTCAGGTGGTACATTTTAATTTCTTGCTTTTTATTTTTTGTGTATCTGTTGTATGTTTTTTGATTTGAGGTTACCCCAAGTATTACAAATGATATTTAAAAACCCATTTTTAAGCTGATGACAACTTAACGATGATTGCATAAACAAACTAATGAGCAAAGAGACAGCTAATAAATACTCTACAGTTTAAATTCATCCCCCTGCTTTGGCTGGGCGTGGTGGCTCATGTCTGTAATCCCAGCACTTTGGGAGGCTGAGGTGGGTGGATCACTTAAGGTCAGTAGTTTGAGACCAGCCCAGTCAACGTGGTGAAACCCTGCCTCTACTAAAAAAATACAAATATTAGCTGGGTGTTATGCAAATGCTTGTAATCCCAGCTACTTGGAAGATGGAGGTGGGAGGAGCCTTTGAACCCAGGAGGCGGAGGTTGCAGTGAGCCGAGATCGTGCCACTGAACTCCAGCCTCAGCGACAAAGCAAGACTCCATCTCAACATAAATAAATAAATAAATATATAAATTCATCCCCCTGCTTTTTAACTTTTTGTTTCCATTTATATCTTATTGTACTGTCTTGAAAATTTGATATAATTATTATTTTTGATCAGTTCATCTTTTAGTCTTTCTACTTGAGATCTGAGTACTTTACACACCACAATTACAGTGTTATAATATTCTGTGTATTTAGTATTACCAGTGAGTTTTGTACCTTCAGTGATGTCTTCTTGCTTATTAACATTCCTTTCTTTCAGATTAAAGAACTCTGTTAGTATTTCTTGTAGGACAGGTCTGGTGTTTATGAGATCCCTCAGCTTCTGTTTGGGAAAGTCTTTATTTCTTTTTCATGTGGGAAGGGTATTTTCTCTAGATATACTATTCTAGGATAAAAGTTTTTCCTTCATCACTTTATTTATTTATTTTATTAAAAAATTTTTTTTGAGACAGAATCTCACTCTGTTTCCTAGGCTGAAGTGCATGGCACAATCTCAGCTCACTGCAACCTCTGCCTCCCTGGTTCAAGAGATTCTCCTGCCTCAGCCTCCCAAGTAGCTGGGACTACAGGCATATGCTACCACTCCTGGCTGATTTTTTTATATTTTTAGTAGAGATGGGGTTTCACCAAGTTGGCCAGGCTGGTCTTGAACTCCTGACATCAGGCGATACACCTGCCTCAGCCTCCCAAAATGCTGAGATTATAGTCCTTCATCACTTTAAATATGTCATGCCGCCTTCTTCTGGCCTGTAACGTTTCCACTGAAAAGTCTTCTGCCAGACATATTGGTACTCCATTGTGTGGTTATTTGTTTCTTTTCTCTTGCGGCTTTTAGGATCCTTTCTTTATCCTTGATCTTTGGTAGTTTATTAAATGCTTTGAGGTAGTCTTCTTTGGGTTAAATCTGCTTAGTGTTCAGTAACCTTCTTGTACTTGAATGTTGATGTCTTTCTCTGATATTATGCCTTTGAATAAACTTTCTACTCCTATCTGTCTCAATCTCCTTTTAAAGGCCAATAACTCTTAGATTTGCCCTTTTGAGGCTATGTTTTTGATCTTTTAGGTATGCTTCATTCTTTTTCTTTTTTATTTATTTATTTTGTATCCTCTGTATATTTTCTAATAGTCTATCTTCGAGCTCATTATGTCTTTCTTTTGTTTGATCAATTCTGCTGTTATGAGACTCTGATACTTTCTTCAGTATATCAATCGCTTTTTTTTTTTTTGAGACAGGATCTCTGTTACCCAGGCTAGAGTGCAGTCATGTGATCTTGGCTCACTGGAACCTCCACGTCCCGGGTTCAAGCAATTCTCCTGCCTCAGCCTCCTGAGTAGCTGGGAATACAGGCATGTGCCATCACACTCTACTAATTTTTGTATTTTTGGTAGAGATGTGGTTTCATCATGTTGGCCAGGCTGGTCTTGAACTCCTAACTTCAGGTGATTCACCTGCCTAAGCCTCCCAAAGTGTTGGGATTACAGGTGTGAGCCGCTGCATCTGGCCTCAATTGCATTTTCAACTCCAGAATTTCTTCTGGATTCTTTTAAATTATTTTAATCTCTTTGTTAAATCCTATCTGTTAGGATTCTGAATTCCTTCTTTGTGTTACCTTGAATTTCATTGGGTTTCCTCAAAACGGCTATTTTGAATTCTCTCTCTGTAAGGTCACATATCTCTGTGTCTCTGTGATTGGTCACTAGTACCTTATTTTTATTTATTTATTTATTTGAGATGGAGTCTCACTCTGTCACCTGGGCTGGAATGCAGTGGCGTGATCTCGGATCACTGCAACCTCCGCCTTCTGAGTTCAAGCCATTCTCCTTCTTCAGCCTCCCGAGTAGCTGGGATTACGGGTGCTTGCCACCTGTCGCAGGTAAGTTTTTGTATTTCTAGTAGAGACACGGTTTCACCATCTTGGCCAGGCTGGTCTTGAACTCCTGACCTCATGATCCACCCACCTCGGCCTCCCAAAGTGCTGGGATTACAGGTGTGAGCCACCACGCCAGGCCAAGTCACTAGTACGTTATTTAGTTTGTTTGGTGAGGTCATGTTTTCCTGAATGTTCTTGATGCTTCTCAATGTTTGTCAGTGTATGGGCATTGAATAGTTAAGTATTTATTGAAATCTTCATAGTTTGGGCTTCTTTGTACCCATCCTTCTTAGGAGGGCTCTCCAGGTATTTGAAGGGACTTGGATGTTGTGATCTAAGTTTTTTGGCCACTGTAGCTGTATCTGCATTAGGGGGCACCCCAAGCTCAGTATTTCTGTGTCTCTTGCAGACATTTTGTGGTACCTCCCTGGTGGTCTTGGATAAGATCCAGAAGAATTCTCTGGACTACCAGGAAGACTCTTGTTCTCGCCCTTATTTTCTTCCAAATAAATGGAGTCTCTCTCTCTCTGTTCTCTCTCCAGTTTCCTGGAGCTGAGGTGGGGTGACACAAGCACCCCTGTGACCACCACCACTGGGACAGCACTGAGTCTCACTCAAGCCTCGTGGTAACCACTGCCTGTACTGCCTGCTTTTCGTTGAAGACTTCCTTGAGTTATCTTTTTGGTCCATATTACAAAGAACTTTTTGTACTCTCCCTCCTTCTACCACCTTATGCTCCTCTCTCTTTCCCCATTTGATTTACCTATTCTGCTTCTCAGCAATTAACCTTCTTTTCTTGTAGGTACTCTGATATAGTTTGGATGTTCCCTCTAAATCTTATATAATTTCCAGTGTTGGAAGTGGGCATGGTGGGAGGTATTTAAATCATGGGGGTGGATTTCTTATGAATAGTTTAGCCCCATCCACTTGGTGCTGTCTATGTGATAGTGAGTGAGTTCTCATGAAATCTGGTCTTAAAAGTGTGTGGTACCTTCCCCCTACTCTCTCTCACTTGCTCCCATTCTCGCTATGTGAGACTGTGTCCCCCCTTCACCTTCTGCCATGTTTGAAAGCTCCCTGAGGCTTCACTAGAAGCCCAGCTGATGCCAACACCATGCTTCCTGTAAAGCCCACAGAACCATTAGCCAATTAAACCCCCTTTCTTTATAAATTACCCAGTCTCAGGTATTTCTTTATAGCAATGCAAGAAAGGATTAATACATACTCCCAACTCATCTGTTTAATAACCTATCAGCAATTTGTCCAGAATAAGTATTTAGTTAAAGTGTGGTTTTTCAAAATAATTCACTTCTTATCCCTCTTGAACAAAATCAAGAAAACATTTTCTTGAGTTTAGGATTTTAGTTCCTCTAGTTTTTAATTCAGTGGGGCTTGGAAACTTGAACTAACTTTAGCTACAGTTTCCTAAGATATTTTTTCCATATTTTAGACTTCAATTTCTTCTTTATGATGGTAAAAAGTTGACTACAGTTCAAATATTATTCTCTTTAATAAAGTAGGTAAGAGCAAAAAGGATATTGAGGAATTCCATATTCTTAGAATTCCATATTTTCTGTAGTCTGTTACATTTATATGTATGCATATACTCCAAATGGTGGTCCTCTGCTTTACATAGCATTTTCCACAGGTTCTCAGAATATTAAAGGAATTAGTCTCTGGCATTTGTTCCCCAGGTTGATACAGCTATTTGTCATTTATCTTTTTTTTTTTTTTTTTTTTTTTGAGACGGGGTCTGACTGTGTTGCCAGGCTGGAGTGCAGTGGTGCGATCTTGGCTCACTGCAACCTCCGCCTCCTAGGTTTGAGCCATTCTCCTGCCTCAGCCTCCCAAGTAGCTGGGACTACAGGCACGTGCCACCACGCCTGGCTAATTTTTTTATTTTTAGTAGAGATGGGGTTTCACCATGTTGGCCAGGCTATTCTAGAACTCCTGACCTCAAATGATCCGCCCACCTCGGCCTCCCAAAGTGCTGGGATTACAGGCATGAGCCACCGCGCCCAGCTGGTATTTATCTTTTGTTATTTCTGTACTTACACGTTCTTCAAAAGAGGAACTATTTGAAGAGCTATAGATGCTCTGGTTTCTTTATGTTCCTCTTCACTTTCTTTCGTATCAAGATGATTTATCAGAGTACTTTTTTTTTTTTTTTTTTTTGAGTCGGAGTCTCTCTCTGCCGCCCAGGCTGGAATGCAGTGGCACGATCTCAGCTCACTGCAAGCTCCGCCTCCCGGGTTCACGCCATTCTCCTGCCTCAGCCTCCCGAGTAGCTGAGACTACAGGTGCCCGCCACCACGCCCGGCTAGTTTTTTTTTGTATTTTTAGTAGAGACGGGGTTTCACTGTGTTAGGCAGGATGGTCTCGATCTCCTGGCCTCGTGATCCGCTCGCCTTGGCCTCCCAAAGTGCTGGGATTACAGGCGTGAGCCACCGCGTACTTTTAGAACTGTGTTGTAATAGTGAATAGTTTCTTTATGCAGGTAAATTGAATTAAGGCTCCTGAGTATTCATTCTATGTAGTTGTTACTAAAAGATAGTTTACTAAGTGACCTGCTAGGTAGCCATAGAGGAGGCTGTTAATGCTGACACAGTATTTACAGAAAAGGATGACCACAGCGAGTAAACAAAGTGGCATTTGAAGCGCAGAGGCAAGCAGACCCCATGCTGGTGAAGAGAAAATCTGTGATAACAAGAACATGTGTAGTGTAAATAAACCAAAGCTATCCAAACACACCAACGATTCCCCAGTGACTTAAAAGCACAAAGAGGAGTAGTTATTCAGCGGGATTCAAAATTTTAAATTCTGAATCTTGCCCAGTGTTATGCAGAGAGCGCAATCCCTTTATGTTGCTCTCCTGGACTCTCTGGCTATAGCTGGACAATCATTTGTGTGGTTGAGGTTATAAAAACTGCTGCCCTCAAGGCTCTGGGGGAGTCGGCATTGCTGGCCTGGGGAAGGAGAGAAAGGCACTACCTGAGGTAGGCACTGTAGTGGGTGGAAAGCCAGTCTGGGGCAGGCAGGTATAACCTTAAGCATTGTCATGCAATAGAAACCCTTAAGGCCTCTGCCCACCTCTTCTCTTAGGAGACCTCTGCTACAACATCCTGGAAAGATTAAGGTGGGTTGGGAGGACTTTAGCTTCCAAGATAAACTCTTACAATTCATGGGTTTTCTTCCTTCTCCTCTCATGCAGTGAGTGACCTTCCCCTCAAAGAGCCCCTGAATTGCAGGCAGTTTAGCTGCATATACTGTTTTTAGAACAGTAAAAGGGAATGGCACAGCATGAAGTGTATGAACAAAATCAAGCAAACAATGGTATGCCAGACATTGCTCTTGTTCCTTTATATTTATTAATTTATTTAATCACTCCTTGTTACAACCAAGTGAAGTAGATAATATATTATTCTCATTATTCAGATGTGTTGATTATATGAAATTACACATATTATCCCATATTATTCAGGTATGCAGTCTTGCAAAGCAGTAATCCATTAAAAAAAACTTTTCTCATTTTATACAATTTACAGTCATAGCTAATCCCAAACATTGATGAGAATTAGGGAAAGGCAGTCCCTGTTTCAGGTTAATTGAGTCAACTTTTGCCCTCTAGACCAAGACATTTTTTCCCCTGATCCTCTTTTAATTTCTGAAAAAATAAATTCCATGTATGAAGGTTGACCATGTCCTTCTGCAGCTGCCCACACCTGGAGATGTAGATTAAGCATTTGACACCACTATTGAAATCACACTGAATCTTCCAACCTCCTATAGATTATGTTTAACACACCTTGATCTGTTTCCTTATTTGTTGATCTATCCATCATCTTACCTGGCATACAGCCATGGTAGCAGGTCCTTAGATGTCTTTGAGTGTCTTATGTTTGATGACAATCGTTGGCTTACATAGGGTGGTAATAGGGCTCCTTTAAATTTTTTTTTTTTGATTATTTGAAACTTATATGTCAGGGTAATGAAACTTAACCTTGGTTTTTGTGATTACTGAGGATGTTTCTTGCTATCCCCAAAAGCCGTCAGCACTATCACTGTTCCTGTATGAATAATAACAGGTAATGCAGATACAGTGCTTGTGTTGTCCCAGGCACTGTTCTAATTACTCTATGCATATTATAAAATTTAACCCTCATAATACCCTATGCAAGCTAAATGAATTTGACTTGTTTCCTTCTTTGCATCATTTTTTTCTAAGTCCAAGTCTCATGTGGATGCAACTGAGTAGAGGACCCTAGATCACGTGGTTAAACTTGATTGTGAGAGGGGCTGGCAATATAGGTCCTGGTCTTTGACTTGGGCAGGTAAGGGGTGGGATTCATAATCAAGGAAATGAACACAATATAGAAATGCACCTAAAAGATGTTGGAAAACCATAAATATCAATAATGCCACTACAAAGACACAGAAGAAAAAAATAAAAAATACGGAATCACAGAAGCCAATGGAAAAGTATGCTATAAATGCCACCAAGAGGTCTGGTAATATGAAGGCTGAAAAATGTCTCCTGGCTTTAGTGATATGGAGGCCATTAATAACCTTAGTGAGAACCATTTCATTAGAGTGATGGGAGGGAAAGCAGATGTATTGAGTTGAAGAAAGAATAGGATGTAAGGGAATGGAAATAGTCCAGGCAATTCTTTAAAGATTGACAGTGAAGAAGAGGAGGAGAAATATAGGAGAGCAGCTGGTAGTCAGAAATGCTGTCAGGGGATTTTACTTTTTAATACTAATATGAAGGATTCAGTAGAGAGAAAGTGACAGGGGATGGCATTCAGAGCACACTACTATTTCGAAAGGTGGAAAAGATGAGGGGATGTTAGTTAGCAATTATAAGCAGGTGTTTGTGGTAGAAGCACAAGGGAACTCATACCATTGGCTTTTAGTTTTGGGAAGTGGGGTGCAAAACTGAAATTGGGAGTGAGAAGGAAGGAAAAAGGTTTAAAAGGGCGAAGAGTAGAAAGCAAGCTTATTTAGAGCAGTATAACATGACTGCCAGACAGTGTTGAAGGCTCCGGTGGAACAGGAAATCATTAAGGGATAGTGATGCCAACCTGGCCTGTTTTGCAACTTCATCCAGCATGGCTTAGCTGCCTGGATGCCTGCCAAGAGAAAGTAGATAGTGTGTTTATCTCGAATAAGGCATTATGAAAAGATAGAGAGGCCAGGTAAGATACTAGTGAGAAAGTTACTAAAATGACAGATCATGCCATCTAAGCTGAATAACTTGGGAAGTAAAGGTTGTGGTGGTGCGGTAGTGGTTAATGAATTAAGTAACCTGAGTATCCCAAAGATACGGAAGAATGTGGTAGACAATGGTTGATAGATGTTTAGGGTCAAAAGTAGATGTGGTAAGCAGCCTCTAAGAAAGTGGTCCCGGCCTCCTGGTATTCATGCCCTTGTGTCATCCCTTCCCCTTGAGTGTGAGCTTGATTTTTAATAAACAGAATATAGTAGAAGTGATGGGGATGGAAGGTTACTTCTGAGATTAGGTCACAAAAAGAGTGTGTTGGGCCGGGCGTGGTGGCTCATGCCTGTAATCGCAACACTTTGGGAAGCTGAGGTGGGTAGATCACTTGAGGTCAGGAGTTTGAGACCAGCCTGGCCAACATGGTGAAACCCTGTCTCTACTAAAAATACAAAAATTAGCCAGGTGTGGTGGGGCATGCCTGTAATCCCAGCTACTTGGGAGGCCAGGAGGCAGAGGCGGCAGTGAGTTGAAATTTTGCTATTGCGTTCTAGCCTGGGCAACAGAGAGAGACTCCTTCTCAGAAAAAAAAAAAAAAAGAAAAAAAGAAAAAGACTGTATGGCTGTGGCTTTTATATTAGACAGTCACTCTTCTGCTCTGTCACTTGCTCACTCTGTGGGAAGCTAAATGCTATGTTGTGAGCTGCCCAATGGAGAGGTCCAGATGGCAAGGAACTGAAGGAGGCTTTCGTCTAACAGCCTGTGAGGAATTAAAGTTTGCCAAAATCCATGTGAGGGAGGTTAGATGATCCTTTGCCCAGCTGAGCCTTCAGATGAGACTGCAATCCCAGCTAGCAGCCTGATTGCAGCCTTATGATACACCTTGTACCAAAGGCACCCACCTAAGCTACACTTGGATTCCTGACCCAAGTAAACTGTGAGATAATAAATATTTGTTGTTTTAAGCTGTTAAATTATGCAGTAATTTTTTTCAGCAATAGGTAACTAATATTGTGGGGTTATCAAAGTACTAGTTAGATACTCCAATGTTTCGTTAAAAGATAAAATAAGATTTTTTTTTAACAACAGTCATGTTAGAATTGGATTGCAGTAACATTTTAAAGATTCCAATCTTATGAATGAGCTGAGGAAGTCAACTAGAAAAGAAAATGTCAAAGGATCTTTTGAAAGTCTGAGCAACAACTGAGGTACCCCTTACCTTAACATAATGGCACTTATCTCCAAAGTCCCATGCTGTAAAATAATTCTGATAGTTTATATTTTCTATAATAATTATACCTGCTCTAAAGCATTCTCCTTTAGCTCCAAAATGAAATGATTAAAGGTGGTGAAAGATATCTATGTTTTAAGACATGAAAAACATATTTATTTTTGCCAGTCTCACTCAACCAGAATTTAGGTATTTAAGGTCAGAGATGTTTTGTTGTTTTTCAGCCTCCTCAAAAGGAGGAGGAAGATTCTCTTTTTGAAATTTTTTGTGCTCCCCGTTGAAGGAGTGGCTCCATTGTATACGTACATGTCCAGGCAGAATACTGGCTACGACTTTTGACGTTCTAACTCAAATTCTTATATCCACAGATTCACCAAGTTTTGAGGATTCTACTTCACACACAGCTCTTATATCCATGCAGTCTTCTCTATTTCCCTTACCATTGTCATAGCATAGCCCTTGTCTTCCTTACTCAACTTTCCTTCTCTGTTTCTCTACATGCGCGTTTATCCCATTGCCATCAGAGATATTTTTATAAAATACAAATCATGTCATGCACTTGCCTAAACTTTTATTACACTAGATTGTTCATAGAATAAAGCCTGAATTCAGCATGACAATAAAACTTTTCTTGACCTGGCCTTAATCGGGGTTTCCACCCTCTCCTCCCCAAATTGCTTGGGCAGTCACAGTGTCAGATCACTGTGCTTGTGCTCATTGCTTTGGTTTTCAGTTGTCTCTGTTTTTTGTTCCTGAGGAATTTACTTGATTTCACTGGAGTTCAGCAATTTATTTAAAAGGTTGTATACACACACACACACACACACACACACACACACACATCTCCAGAATTTTTTGATATTTATAGTAGGAGGGTTTTAAAGTTTTCTAATTTGAAATATTGCCTGAATCTAAAGTCCTGCTATATCCTTTTCTTTCTTTCTTTCTTTTTTTTCTTTTTCTTTTTTTTGGGAGGTGGAGTCTTGCTCTTGTCGCCCAGGCTGGAGTGCAATGGTGCGATCTTGGCTTACTGCAACCTCTGCCTTCTGGGTTCAAGTGATTTTCCAGCCTCAGCCTCCCGAGTAGCTAGGATTACAGGTGCCCACCACTATACGCAGCTAATTTTTGTATTTTTATAGAGGTGGGGTTTCACCATGTTGGCCAGGCTGGTCTTGAACTCCTGACCTCAGGTGATCTGCCTGCCTCGGCCTCCCAAAGAGCTGGGATTACAGGTGTGAGCCACCATGCATGGCCTCTTTTCTTTTTTTCTATTTCATTTTTGAATTTTTATTTAATTTTTAGAGACAGGGTCTCACTCTGTCACCCAGGTTGGAATGCAGTAGCTCAATCATAGCTCACTGAAGCCTCAACCTCCTGGGCTCAAGTGATCCTCCTGCTTAGCCTCCTGAGTAGCTGGGACTATAGGTGCATGCCACCATGCCAGCTAATTTTTTTATTAAAAATTTTTTTTGTGTGTGAGAAGACAAGGTATCGCTTTGTGGCCTACGCTGGTTTCAAACTCCTGGACTCAAGCATTTCTTCTACCTCAGCCTCCCAAAATGCTGGGTTTACAGGCATTTGGTACCATGTTCAGCCTGTTTTTATTATATTTTTTTAGAGATAGGGTCTCCTTCTGTTGCCAAGGGCAGAGTGCAGTGGCATGATCATAGCACTGGAGCCTCAAATTCCTGGGCGTAAGTGATCCTCCTGCTTCAGCCTCCCAAGTAGCTAGGCTGAACAGCATGAGCCAACACACCTGGCTAATTAAAAAAATTTTTTTTTGTAGAGATGGGTCTCACTATGTTGCCCAGGCTATTCTCGAACTCCTGGGTTCAAGTGTTCCTCCTGCTTTGGCCTCCCAACACCCTGGATTACGGGCATGGGACTACATCTGGCCCATTTCTTTACATTTTAAACATTTTTATATCACAGTGCTCCACATGAGGTTCTTTTAAACCACCAAAAGGTGGTGTTTTTTTTTTCTGATCTAAAAGTTTCTTTGAAAAAGCAAATTTAATCCCTTTACATTAACTGTGATTACTGATATATTTGAATTTATTTCTGTCACTTTCAATGTATTTACCATTTACCATATTCATGTTTTACATCTTTTTTTTTTTCTTTTCATGGCATATTTTGGTTTGATTGTATTTTCTTTATGACCATTCTCACGGAAATAATCCAATAAATTTCCTTAGTCTTGCTAGAAAAATAGACATCTAGATAGAAGACATCCAGAGAACACCTATGAGACACCGTATAAAATGAATGTTACCAATGCATATAGTTACCAATGCATATAGTCACCAACTGTCCAAGGTCAACGTTAAGGAAAAAAATCTTACAGGCAGCTAGAGAAAATGGTCATGTTATGTGCAAATGGAACCTTGTTAGGTTAACAGCAGACTTCTCAACAGGAACCTTAAAAGCCAGGAGAGACTGGGGGCTATTTTCAGCATTCTTAAAGAAAGGAAACTTCAACCAAGAATTTCTATATCCAGGCAGACAAAACTTCGTAAGTGAAGGAGAAATAAAATCTTTTCCAGACAAACAAGCACAAAGGGAATTCATTACCATTAAACCAGCCTTGCAAGAGATCCTTAAGGCAGTTCTAAACATGGAAATGAAAGAATGATACCTCCTACCATAAAACCACACTTAAGTACATAGCTCACAGACCATATAAAGCAATCACACAATAAAGACTACAAAGCAAACAGCTAACAACTTCACACTAGGACCAAAACCTCACATATCAATATTAACCTTGAATGTAAATGGTCGAAATGCCCCACTTAAAAGGCACAGAGTGGCAAGTTGGATAAAAAAACAAGACCCATTCATTTACTGTCTGCAAGAGACCCATCTCACATTTAATGACACTCATCAGCTCAAAGTAAGGGGCTGGAGAAAGATCTACCACACGAATGGAAAACAAAAAAGAGTAGGAATTACTATTCTTATATCAGATAAAACAGACCTTAAACTAACCAAAAGGTTTAAAATGGACAAAGAAAGGGATTGTACAACGATAAAGTATTCAATTAAACCAGACTTAACTATTCTAAATATGCACTCAATGTTGGCGCACTCAAATTAATAAAACAAGTACTTATAGACCTACAAAAAGACTTAGACAGCCATAGAATATTAGGGAAACTCAACACCCCACTGACGGTATTAGACAGATCATTGAGGCAGAAAGTCAACAAAGAAATTCTGGATTTACATTCAACACTGGATCAATTGGACCTAATAGACATCTACAGAATACTCCATCCATCAGCCACAGAATATACATTCTTATCTGCACATGGAACATACTCCAGGATCAACAACATTCTCAGCCATAAAGCAAGTCTGAATTTAAAAAAATCAAAATCATACCAACCATACTCTTGAACCATAGTGGAATAAAAATAGAAATCAATACGAAAAAGATCTCTCAAAACCACACTATTGGCTGGGTACAGTGGCTCATGCCTGTAATCCCAGCACTTTGGGAGGCTGAGGTGGGTGGATCACTTGAGGTCAGGAGTTTTAGACCAGCCTGGTCAACATGGTGAAACCCCATCTCTACTAAAAGTGCAAAAATTAGCCAGGTGTGGTGGTGCATGCCTGTAATCCCAGCTAGTTGGGAGGCTGAAGCAGGAGAATTGCTTGAACCTAGGAGGCAGAGGTTGCAGTGAACTGAGATTGTGCCATTGCACTCCAGGATGGGTGACAGAACAAGACTCCATCTCAAACAAAACAAAACAAAAACCACACTATTACATGGAAATTAAACAACTTACTCCTGAATGACTTTTGGGTAAACAATGAAATTAAGGCAGAAATTTAAAAAATTCCTTGAAATTAATGAAAATAGAGACACAACATAGCCAAATCTTTGGGATGTGGCAAAATTAGTGTGAAGTTTAGTGCTAAACACCCACTTCAAAAAGAAAGCTCTCAGATTAATAATCTATTAATAACGTCATGCCTAGAGGAACTAGAAAAACAAGAACAAACTAACCTCAAAGTTAATAGAATAAAAGAAACAACTAAGATCAGAGCAGAACTGAATGAAATTGAGACCCAAAAATCCGTACAAAAAAATCAGTGAAACCAAAAATTGGTTCTTTGAAAGGATAAATGAGATCAATAGACTGCTAGCGAGAATAACAAAAAAGAGATATCCAAATAAGCACAATCATAAACGACAAAGGTGACATTACAACCAATCCCACAGAAACAGAAAATATCCTTTGAAATGATTATGAACACCCATATGTGCACAAACCAGAAAATCTAGAGAACATAAATAAATTCCTGGAAACACACAATCTCCCATGATTGAAACAGGATGAAATTGAAACACTGAACAGACCAATATTGAGTTCTGAAATTGAATCCGTAAATAAAAAAACAAAAACAAAAAAACACCTACCAACCAATAAAAGCCCTGAACCAGATCTATTCACAGTCAAACTCTACTACATGTACAAAGAAGAACTGGTACTAATTCCACTGAAACTATTCCAAAAAATCAAGGAGAAGGGACTCCTCTATAACTCATTCTGTGAAGCCAGCATCACCCTGATACCAACACCTGGCAAAAGACACAACAAAAAAAGAAAACTACAGGCTAACATCCTGATGAACACAGATGCAAAAATCCTCAATTAAATACTAGCAAACCGAATTCAATAGCATATCAAAGTGTTAATTCACCATGATCAAGTAAGCTTCATTCCTGGGATGCAAGGTTGGTTCAACATACACAAATCAATAAATGTGATTTACCACATAAATTGAATTAAAAACAAAAACCATGTGATCATCTCAATAGACATGGATAAAGTTTTCAATAAAATTTTCAGCCTCCCCAGTAGCCGGTATTACAGGCGTGTGCCACCATGCCAGGCTAATTTTTTTATTTTTAGTAGAGACAGGGTTTCACCATGTTGGCTAGGCTGGTCTCGAACTCCTGACTTCAAGTGATCCACCCGGCTAGGCCTCCCAAAGTGTTGGGATCACAGGCGTGAGCCACCATGCCCAGCCTTACCTGGCATTTCTGTATGCTTAGGAGAGGAAAGTGGTACCCACTGCACCTTAGCCCCATCTGACATCTTAATTGTATGTTTCTTTTTTTTTGGTTTTTGTTTTGTTTTTGTTTTTGTTTTTGAGATGGAGTTTCCCTCTTGTTGCCCAGGCTGGAGTGCAATGGCGTGATCTCCGCTCACTGCAATCTCCGCCTCCTGGGTTCAAGCTATTATCTAGCCTCAGCCTCCCAAGTAGCTGGGATTACAGGTGCCTGCTACCACGCCCAGCTAATATTGTATTTTTAGTAGAGATGGGGTTTCACCATGTTGGACAGGCTGGTCTCAAACTCCTGATCTCAGCTGATCCACCTGCCTCGGCCTCCCAAAATGTTGGGATTATAGGTGTGAACCACTGCCCCCGGCTTAATTGTATGTTTCTATTTAATCTTTAAATCCCTTGCACTTTGGCTCCCTCTCTACTATTCCATTGAAAATGTTTCCACTAAAGTATCAAATGGCCAACTAATCATTAGAGCTAATGGACATTTTCCAGTGTTTATCTCTACAGTGTACAATAAATGATGCTTTTCTTCTTTCTTTTCATTTAAAGACCTTTCCCCTCTGGGCTTCTATAAAACCACTTCTCTCGGTTCCCTCCACTTCTAAACTGCTCCTTCTCAGTCTCCTTTGAAAGCTATAAACTGATGATTTCCAATTTTGAGCACCACCCAGATGTTTCTCTTGGGTTCTAGATGTGAATATCCAACTACCTACTTGATATTTCTCTGAAATGTCCTGCAGGCAACTCAGCCTTTTCATAACTGAATACAATTTTCCCCAAGTTTGTTTTAAGAATTGAAGTATAGTGATATTGACATTGTTCATGAACTTCAAAGTAGGAGAAATTTTACATGAATGGAGAAGAGCAGTGGTTTAAATATGGCAATGAGGAACTAGACAATTTCTCACTTCAACTTCTGGCTTCTAGGTACATGGACTGTGACAGAATAAATATATTCCAAAAAAGTGGGACCGACGGGACTCTGAGACTTTAGGGGAAAGCCAGATCTCAGTTAAGAGGAGGAAAGAAAGTCTTAGCTGGGTGTGGTGGCTCATGCATTTAATCCCAGAATTTAGGGAGGCTGAGGTGGGAGGATTACTTGGGCTCAGGCCCAGGAGTTCGAGACCAGCCTGGGAAACATAGGGAGACCCTGTCTCTACAAGAAAAAAAAAAAATTAGCTAGGTATGGTGGCCTGCCCCTATAGCTACTTAGGAGGCTGAGGTGGGAGGATCACTTGAGATCAGGAAGTTGAGCCTGCAGTGAGCCATGATTTTGCTACTGCAGTCCAGCCTAGGCAACAGATCAAGACCCTGTCTCAAAAAAAAAAAAAAAAAATCTTAAGCGAAGAGGTCAAGTTGAACTATAGATTATTTAAAAAGAAAGGAAGATTTAGAGGGCACATTGGAGACAGGAAAGCAGTTGAAAGAAATGACGAAGAACATACACATTCATTAAATATTTGTTGAATTTCTTGAGGGCAGGTGCCAATCATAACCATCTTTTAATCCTTAGAACCTATCCCTGTCTGCTATATACTAGACACGATGCAAATGTTTGTCATAATAAAATGAGACTGTTGTAAATGACTTTTAATTATTTCCCACTGAGGGAAGGGTGTGATGAAAGATCCTTTTCTCTTTTGTTTAGAGGAAATGAGAAAGAAGAATAGCTTAGGGCACTTGGAAGGATATAATTCAATTCTACAAACATTTCACACTATCTATTGGGTTAACCATGGGTGAGTGTAGACCCACATCAGTGCATTCTTTTCCCCAGTCAATTAGATTCAGGGACTAGTATTTCCTTTGAAGCAGATTCTGTCCATTCTCCCAACACTAGGGAAATACATCTATAGCAGGGAATCTTTTTTTTTTTCAATGGATATAGTCTGCCCAACATTCTTCCTATAAGATTATTCAAATAGAAGTTTTGTTAACAGAAATCACATATAATAAGTCAGTCAGTCATTGGGCTATAGAAGCTGAAATTTCTCATGCTGCAAATTCCTCCACTTTTAGATATTTAGATATTTCACTCCTGGTGGCTGAGTAGTGAAGTCGCCTCTATGTTCAATTTCTCCTCCGCTTAAGTTGCTAATGACGATGCATCCATGGCCTGCCCCTTCCAGCTCGCAGACCTAGGACTCACAGGCAACTTTCCTATGTTAGAGAGGTTCCTGGCTTTCTAAAATCTGTCACCCACACCATGTGGTCTTAATGGAAGGAAAAATGAAGTTCCTGTCTTTATATGATAACATTTGCCCCTTCTGATGTGTGGCATTGTCATCCTCTTCATTTGATAGACTTGTTGTTGTTGTTGGGAGAGATTTTTCTGTCATCTCCTGGACTCTTTTCCCAGCCAATCTGCAGATCACCATCTCCATATTCTCCCTATAGCATTATGCCTTCATCACTATCTATTACTTTTGTGAACTCACTAATTACAGTGTAGCTTAATAGCATTTATAAGAACAAAAATTGTTATAGTGTGTCTTTGTTTCAAGGAGCTCACAATCTACGGTGTGATACAGACATAAACACATCTTATAGCTAAGGGGTAAACAAAATGCTGAGGGATACAGGAGGAAAGAAGCCTAGAAATAGTAGACTCACATTTTAGAATTTATTTCAGACTCTGTATCTGAACTCTGTATCCCTGCAGAAAATGGGCTACATTTTCTGCATGGAAGGATAGAGGCAGTTGAATTGGAACTCTGGTCACAGTTATTTAAAGTTGTCCCTTTAAATGAAGGAGTGGCTTTGTCTGTTATGCAAAAATATAAGCGTTCTCAATTGGTTTGCCATGGTACATTGGTATATTGTGAATCCTTTAGAAATCTGTTACCAAGTTTTGACAAATCTGTAAGATTAAAGTTTACTCTAACTGAGATTCCCATATTACAGAGGTAGATCTCAGACAGAACTTTAAGTTGAGCAGGTGCTGGAACTGAATGTCAAGGAGGGAACAAAAGGTGGCAAGTAAAAGGTAAGAAGCACAGTATCCCGTCAACTAGCACCAAGAAAGAGGGAGTGTTTACTGGAATATTGAGAATGTGGCTGTGGACAGGGCAGAACATGATTTTATTCCTGCAGTCAGATGTGTTGTGAGTGAACCAAGGGAATGGGGGAAAAACTGGATGTACCTCCACAGACACCATGAGACACTCACATTGTGATGAAAGACTGCTGACTTTTTAGCAATTTAATTCTTAAATATTTATTTTATTTAAAAATCCATGAACACCTCCAGCTTTTTTTTTTTTTTTTATGGCAAAACAGTTCATTGTAGCTGTTCACGTAGTAATTATCTTCCTCTTGCATCCCCAGGTAATGACTGTGATCTTGACCTAAAAGCCACCTTAGTTAGTTTGAATAAGGAAGACCTTGAAAGGAAAGGTAACTGACCAGAAACACTCTTAAGAAGCACACAATGAAGAAATGATCATTTCTAAGCAAGTACTTAAAGTGCCATAACACAGTATAACAGTGCTTTTATAAGCATCCAGTCTTATTTAAGCAAAAAGACGTAAAATAATGTGATCGTGTTATGGCACACAATCTGGAGGTTTAAAACTTTAAAAAAAAGAACCACTTTGTAGTAGCACTATTTTGTTTTAGGTCTTTTAATTTCTTCAAGTGTGCCACCAAAAATTGTAGTATTCAAAAAGGTGCCAATACACACACACATACACACACACACAGAGTCCATGTTGAGATCCATTTCAGTAGTACATTTAAAATGGAAGACATCTTATTTCTTTTTCTCATCAGGTTGCCCACCAAGGCTTTAACATCTCTGATCTCAAACTAATATCATCTGTTTCCTTTTTTATCTAAGCCACAGAACATGAGAGCTCATTAAAACCTTAGAAATTTTATTAACTCTCTATGATAGTTTTCCCCTCCACATTATTTTCTTTATCTTCCTTTCACAAGCAGGATTATGAGGTTTCTTGATGGGTTTTTAATATTGTCATGAAAAATCTTCCCTTGGCATGTTTGTGCGATAACACAACTTTAAAAACCTTATTTAAATGAACTTATTCAAATGAAGTGGATAGGCACCAAACTGGCTCAGCTCAGCACCAAATACATTTCAGAATCAAGTTCTCTTCAACCAGTGTTATCTCATTTGTAATAGAACAAAGAACCACTAGACGGAGCTAGGGTTTAAGAAATCACTGTTCTAGACTAGGTAACAGGCGATGGGTAGAAGGCTATCTTAAGGAAAAAGTGTATCATTACTTGCATTTCAAATCCTATGACAGTCTTATCCAACTCTCTGCTAACAGCAATCTGTTTACTTTGTCTCTACACAAGACGAGATAAAGGGTGATATTCGTAATGGCCCAATTTATTTAGTCACTCCAATAATGACGTCTGACCTTGGCACAGCACTTTACAATTTAAGGTGCTGTCCCCATACATAATTCTTGCTTGATCTTCACAGCAACTCTGAGAGATTTCTGGGCAAGAATTAGTTCTTCTGTTTTTGAAATTAATTAACTGAGACAGGATGTCTTTGCAATACATTAGGATATGTCAGGATGGCTAACCCAGACAATTAATTTTCAGGGTTAGTTTTTTTTTCTCTTACATTTTTGTGTTGACTGTTGACTCAGTCTGAAACTAGTAAACTCTCCATTCATTTCTCCTGTGGGACATAGGCTTAGTCTCCCACCGCACCGACTGGGGATACATAGTAAAAAGGCAGGTACAGACTATGTGTGGGTCGAAATCCCCCAAAATAAGTGAACAAACGACCGTTGTCTTAGCCCCTGTCCAGAAACCTTGGGTGTATGTGGTTCTTCCGTATACCAGGGGTCAGCTGTAAAAACTAACTGTATCCTCTGCACTACAGACTACCCTTCAAGCCAAAGCCACGGTTGCTTAATTAATGCTGCCCCTCTCCTGAGCATTCGCCCTTAGAGACAAGTCCACCCCTTTGATGTTTGTCAGGCAGTTTGATACTGATCATACCAAACATCAGGAGCCTGCATTTGTGTCTACGGTAAAAACAACCCAAGACAACTCTTCTGAAGCTGAATCTGCCAGTCACTCTAAATCTGCACTATTGCAATACGACTTCATTAATTACTGCTCAAACACTGGCCTAGAATCAAGGTGGGGCAACTTTCACTAGTCAGGCTAACCTTACAGGAAGGCAAGAAGGTGTTCCCAGAGCCTCACAGGTCCCGGGGGCCCCGGCCTGAAACAGAGCAAAGGAAGAGAGTTACATCAGCACGCTCCCCTAAGACTTGTTGGGGGTGAATCCGCCCTGAAAGCTGCTCACAATGCCCTCCTCTCCACCCAGCCCATGGCACATCCTGAACACATTTCCCGGCTGAACCCAGAGGGTGGCGCTGCCGTCCCAGCCTTGGTCCACGGCCGCCCGCCACTTCCCTGCCTCTGCGGGAGCCCCCCAGCTTGGTCTCCCGCAGGCCGGCGGTGGGGCACGAGCCCGGTAGGGGGCGCCGCCGGCCCAGGCGCCGCTGCTCCCTCCGCCCACCCGGAGGCGGCTGCCGCTAGCCGAGGCCGGCGCGAGTGCA
Source organism: Homo sapiens (assembly GCF_000001405.40). NCBI lineage: Eukaryota > Metazoa > Chordata > Mammalia > Primates > Hominidae > Homo > Homo sapiens. Next base: position 211,134,145 of record NC_000001.11, on the reverse strand, counting down.
CTGCGAGGCGGGCCGCAGGGAGGGAGGCGCGAAGAGGGCGCGAGGGTAGCAGCCAGAGGGAGCCGCCAGCCCTGCCTGCGGATCCCCGCCGGGCGCATGGGGCGCTTCGAGCCGGGACTGCGTGCGGGCCCCGAGGCCAGTTTCCTGCTGTCGTAAGAAGCCGCGCCAGGACGCCCGCCGGACCCCGAGCTGCTGGGAGGATGACCATGGCTGGGGGCAGGAGGGGACTAGTGGCCCCTCAAAACACGTTTCTGGAGAATATTGTTCGGCGGTCCAATGGTAAGAGGTGCATTCGGATTTCGATTACCCGGGCGTTTTATCCGTGCCTTTATTGCAGAACCTCTCGCCGCTCGGAGCCAGCAGATGCAGCAGAACCCGCGAGCTCTGCTAAGGAGCCGCGGCGCGGGCACCCAGGGCAGCCTCCCCGAGGCAGAGAAAGGTGGGCAGGGCGGGGCGGGGTCTGATGGGTCCCCATCCTAACAGGAGAGCTCTTCTGGGGACGCCTTTTGGGCCTTTCTAGCGCCCTCTCGGTCTTATCTCCAAGGATGCGTGACAGCTGCTGAGCAAAGTACTGGGAAAAGTGATGGAAAGCTGGCTGCAGCCGGAGCGGCAGCGCGCGCCCCATCGGCACTGCCCACCCTTCCGCGAAGGCTCTGGGGCTCCCGGGCTGCTCCCAGAGGCGCCGCCTCTCCCCAGGGAGAGCCAGCAGTAGAGACGGGCAACTCCAGGTCCCCGCTGCCTCAGAATGGGAGGATCCGGCTGCCTCCACCTTCCATCCCTGCAACTGAAAAGTCCGAGGTGTCGGGACGTGCTCTCGGCGGCCTGATTCCACCCCTTCACCCACCCACCACTTTCTAGGTGAAGTTAAGGCTCACCTTCGAAGTGAGGGGCAGATGGTTTTCCTGGCGTCAGGTGGGAAGTGGAGGGCACAGGTGCAGAGCGAACTAAATGGTCACAGGTACAAACCTGTTATATTTCCCCTCTTCCAAACCCACAACGGTTTTATGCCACCCTTAAGTGTTGCTCACCTATAAATTCCCAATCTCACCAAACCTATAAATAGATCCATTACCCAATAAACTGACAATCAGCACTCATCTGTTTCCTTGTGGCATTAAGATCGACGGTAGCATGAAGCCTTGAGAGGCGAGAGTCCTAGGAGCGGGGATGGAAAGGAAGAATTCCAAACGCCTTTCGGACTTAACAGAGGAGAGACCCCAACTAAGCACTTGCAGAGCGACTAGGAGTCCTGGCAGTTGGAAGGCGCAGCGCACGAGTTCATCAAATGGCTATATTGAAAGATAGCCAAGCATAAGATGCTCTTTGCAGACTCCTAGAGCCCCCACCCCACCCCTTCCAGAAACAGATGACATTCTTCTACCAGGGAGACATGAGGAGCTAACTTAGGAAATGGGTTTTAATAATGTGTAAATATCACGATTTCAGAGTCTAAGGAGCTTCTGTGTAAAATGATGAGCTTCTGTTTGGATTTAGTTAGGGATTCAGGGGAAGGGCATGAAAAGTGACTTATGCTACTAATAAACACTCTTTAATTAAACAGTGATTTAAGTTTATCTTATAATGAAACACATCAACTAGCATAGCAAATAATCACGTATTATTTAAGTACTTTCTTAGAAATGATCATTTCTTTATTGTGTGCCTCTTAAGAGTGTTTCTGGTCAGTCACCTTTCCTTTCAAGGTCTTCCTTATTCAAACTAAGGTGGCTTTTAGGTCAAGGTCACAGTCATTACCTGGGGATGCAAGGGGATGATAATTGCTATGTGAACAGCCACAATGAACTGTTTTGCCATAAAAAAGCTGGAGTTGTTCATTTATTTTTAAATAAAATAAGAGTTACTGTGCTATTATTGCTATTTTTATTGGACTATTAAGGGGTATGGAGACAATCTTGCAAATTTGGTTATCCCATTGTCAGTGACACCAACTTTCTCATAAATATCAATGACAATTCTATTTTTCAGTAAAGAGGCAGTGCCCTGTAAGTTAGAGGGGAAACCCAGTACCTAATGTATACTGTGTATGTTTTTGAGTGGAGGGAGCAGGAAGAGAAACTTACATGTAAAAGTCACAAGATGCCTTGGGTTTTAAGGGAACCTTAAGAATCTTGGAGCTGTGAAGGCAGAATACTGTCTATTTTAGTTGATCTTATTAGAGCCACTTTCCCTCTGTAATCATAGAATGTGAATAGAATAAGTCACTGGGAATATTTTTAGGATGGGCATTGTCATTTCAACACCAGTTTCAGCAGGTTGATTTCAATTAACCAATCAAATGAATAGCATCAAAAAAAATGAAGCATCTTGGGAGAGTTGGATGAATTTTTAAAATTATTATTTCAGAATAAATGGTTCTCATCTTGAAATATGGGACTCAATGTTTAAAAGGTGATCCCTTTTATAATATTTCCTGAACACAAATGGAAGAAAAAATGTGAACTCCTAGAAATATCACAATATCTGCATGCATTATATTATTTTACTGTGGTGGAAAAAGTCTATTTAAAGATATTGATTGTCTCATTCTAAAATCCATGAGCCCTTTTTTGGACATTACGGTATTAAAATAGCATTTTACCTTTGAATAGCAATATTTTATGATCATTTTATTAGATATTTTCTCCCAGTGGTCCTGTGCAGTATTAATGTTCCTCTTTTACAGATCAGAAAACTGAGTCCTAGGAATATTAAGTGGCTTATTCAAAGTGGCAGAGCAAACAATGCCTGAGGCTGGTATTCCTTAGAGGACATCTATCATATATCCTTCTCTCAGCATTATAATTTCTCCAGCTTTTATGACTTAGTCTGTGGAACTATTTTTATCATCCTTTAAAAACTTCTCATATGATAATGAATAATAGTACTGACTTCATTTTGGGTTATTTGAATATCTGATGCCCGGAATATCATAGAGCTGTGGGAAGAGACAGACCTTAAATATTATCTAGTCTGCCTCTCCTTCCCCATCATTGTATAAATAAGGAAATTGATGCAAGAGGCTTTCCTCAAATATTTAAGGGCAGAACTAATGAGGCCCCAAACCATTTGAGTCCAATGTCAGATTCTTTATGGTACACCATGCAAAAACCCTTTCCTCATGTTACCATTATATTCTCTCAAGAAGCATAATTTCCCAGTGGAGATTAAATAAAATGTTATAACAACAAGAACAACATCCATCTTGGCTAACAGCCACACTACCACATCTCAACAGAATAATAGGGCAAAGGAAAGGCTAATTATATTTCAAGGAAATGCAGTCTGTTCACCTTTGTCAGTGGTTTAGCTGAAGGCAAAGGCGGGGATAATGGGCACTTAACATCTGTGTGCCCCATTATAAAGTACCAAGTCACTTTTCACAGAGTATCACCTTTGATCCTCATAAGCTAGTAGAGGAGGTGCAGTCTCTCCATTTTAGAGTTTAAGGAACTAAAATCCTTAAACTAAAACTCACCTAAGAATCCTCAGGTTAAGTGATTTACCTACAATTCGTAAGAGGCAGAATTAGGAAAAGGCAATTAGAGACAGATCAGGGACTAGCCAGCAGTTGTTTTTGGTTTATTCATTCAACAAAGATTTATTGAATGTATTTATGGAACACTGAGGATACAGTGGTAAACAAGAAACCCTCCTTGTGATTAGTAAATTACATTCTAGTGAATCTTGGTCCAAGGTTCTTGCCCCTATTTTACAGTGTTGACCGGCTGCGACTGTTTAGGCCTGTCACTGTATTTAAAAAACATTTCTAAGGTGTTTACTGGTCTTGCTGGTACTAAAACCGACTTTTAACTTTCTTTGGTACATTTTGAATCCCATTTAAGGAAAGATTTGATAATTATCTGTTCTTTAAATTGCCGTAAGTAGGCAGCAGAAATAATTAATACTCCATATTTTATTTGATTTTGCTTATGGTCATGTCAGTGATCATTTTAAATCCTACTGGCTTTGTTGCCACATAGGCAAAACCAGCCTGTTTCTCTTTATATTCATGGTTGGAAACTGTTGTTACAGAATATTTTTTGATAGTTGCTTAAATCTGCAGGCACTTGTTGTCAGAATGTTTGCTGAAGCAAATAGGAGATCTGTCTTAGAAAGGCTGGCAGACCTTGGTGCCAGGAAACTACAAAAATATTACTCTAAATGGTCCCATTCTGGGCAGAACATATGTTTTAGTGTTCGGGAACCTATATCAAACAATTGTAGGTGCCAGTAAAAATCCATGCACATTAGCAGGAGTGAAACACAGCACATTTTGGTACAGATTTATGTACATGTATAATTTACAGATTGCTAAATCAGCTGTGTTTTTGTATAGTGTTAAGTTGGTTCAGGTTGTTGATATAATTAGTTAGCAAACAGGATGAGAACCACGAGTAATGTTGTGTCTCCTCATGGGTGTTTTGAGCCATGGTAATATTTATAAAACAGAAAACTGGTTAAAATCCATTGTGCCTCTACAAGGGGGAATGGATGATAATCTGGATTATTACCAGCTCAGCAGAGCTTGTTTTTTCTTGTAAAATATTCTAAGACAATCTTCAGCCAAGGCTCAGCTATCTTTCTCTGAAAGTGTCAAAAAGTTAAATCTGTTGGCTGATGTTAGATGGGGGATTGAGAAGCTGAAGCCTTGTCATTTAATGTTAAGGAAATAAAGCTTCCAAATTCCATGACTTTTATGCAACCCATTTATTTTAGTAATCTATCTTAAAAGAATAGATGTGTTTGAGGAACACTGTGGGTCAACTGAATCCTTGGCTTCATTGTTTCCGATGCCAGCTCTGCATATATGGTTGGACCTCATTTGGGAGTGGTTCCTTGAGCATTACCTTGAAGCTCTTCAATTCTTCCCTTCCCTTTATTTTTGATTAGTTAATGGCTTGTAAACAAACATTTTAAAATCTACTAGAGTATCTGCTTTATACACTTAGGATATTTGGACCATACTTTTCTTGTTTTTTATTTTTTCTGTTTCTCTAAGTGGCCACACCTGTAACTGTTGAGAAAGAGAAATAGAATCACAGAATCTTAGTTCTGGGGGGACATGCTATACAATTCATTTTCCACTGTTCCACTGAATCCTCTCCAGAACCTCCCTCCTGATGGTTCTCCAGCCTGTGTTTGACTAGCTTCAGTGATGGGACCCTCACTTTCTCGTGAGGAATATTCTATTTGTAAGCAAGTATAATTGTGTTTCTTTTGCCGCCTTTCCTTGTTTTTCTCTTCTTCTCTTCTCTCTGCCTCTTCCTCCTCCCTTTGTTGCTGTCATTTGGTCTTACCAAAATCTGTCTTCTTATAGCTACCACTTATTTGCAGTCTGCTCCGTGGAACAAAACTGACTTAGCCCATTGTTTTTTCCAGCTGCAAACCTTTAAAAAACTTTTGATAAGTTTTGCATTGTATTCTTCTCCCCTTTTAACCTTTTTAATTGTTCAGTACGACAAATAGAAAAGCACACAAAACAATTTTGTACAGCTTAACATATTTCTATAAAGTGATACTGTATGCCATCGCCACCTGTGTCAAGAAATAGAGTCTTGCCAGACCTCTAGAAGCCCCCAAAGCCTTCCTGATCCTAAGTCCCTCACTCTCCTCCTAAAGGGTGACATCTCCTGATTTTATGGTGATCACTTTCTTGCTTTTCCTCATAATTTTACCAGTTTGTTTTGCATTCCTAAAAAAACCCACTATAGTTAATAAATACTACTGTTTATTTTTATCTGTTTTGGAGCTTTATATGCATGAGATCATATAGCATATATTCTTTTGTCGGGTGGCAATTCCTCTATGTTGTTGCATGTACTGCTTCATTTTCTTTACCTCTTTCTTTTTTTTTTTTTTTTTTGAGACAGAATCTCACTTTGTCGCTGGAGTGCAGTGGCGCGATCTCGGCTCACTGCAACCTCCGCCTCCCGGGTTCAAGCAATTCTCCTGCCTCAGCCTCCTGAGTAGCTGGGATTACAGGTGTGCACCACCATGCCTGGCTAATTTTTGTATTTTTAGTAGATACAGGGTTTCACCATGTTGGTCAGGCTGGTCTTGAACTCCTGACCTTGTGATCCGCCCGCCTTGGCCTTCCAAAGTGTTGAGATTACAGGCACGAGCCACCACGCCTGGCCTGTTGATGCATTTTCACTGCTGCATCGTGCTTTATAGTATGACTGTACCACACATTGTGTCCGATCTGCCACTGATGGATTGTTTCCAGTTTTGTGCTATTAATGCTGCTACAAACATTTTTAGTATGTCTTTTGGAGCATGTGGGCACACATTTCTCTTGGGTGTATACCTAGGATGCACATGTTTAACTGTGGTAGATGCTGTCAAACAGTTTTCCAAAGGTTTTATATTAATATACACTCCCACCAGCCGTGTGTGAGCGTTTCTATCACTGCAGCACATCCTTGCCAGCATTTGGTATTTTCTTCTTTTGTCTTTAGTAGTGATGTTGCCCAAACAATCTAGTACCTAATAAAACAGGGTCATTGAGAGTTATGTTAATAGGAGCACATGACCAAAATTAAATGAAAACAAAACTTGCTCTTGCCCTTTGGGAGGCATCAGTATCCACTGTGGGTTGAAGTATTCTCTCTGAGGAGCTCCCTCACACACGATTGTAAATGATGCGAAAGACTTGTACAGTTTGAATTATGTGCAAAGGGTACATGCAAGTGTGGTGGGATTTTTTTTTTTTTTTTTTTTGGTGTGTGTGTGTTTAGGATATTCATTTTCTTAATTTGAGAAGCAGTAAACCCTGGGGACAGAGATTATGCAAGAATTAGAGCTGGAAGGGAGAAGGAACTAGGAAGTGAATGATTTATATTTGTTTCACTGAAATGAAAACAAAATGACTGAAGGAAAGGCACAGATTTAGTGGAGGAATCAAAACTCAATGGAAAATTAAAACAAAAAGCAAAGGCTAGCTTACGGTTCAGTTTTATAAGCACGATGGACTTCCTATGTGCCCAATACTGTGCTAACAAGTAGGAATACCAAAATGAGTACAGCTTTTGTGATGCTGGGTCTAACAGAGGAATCTATGACGGAGGCCAACATGCTTTGTAAACCTCTCCAAAGATTTAAGGGATGTTATACTGATTCAACACTTACTACATATTTTTCCTTTATAAACACCTCACCCAAAATTATTCTTAGATTTTATAGCTATTTTTTTTTGTGAGGTTGGGTGTGGGATAACCAGATCCCGTAAGTGAATTAAAAGAAGATTGCAGAATGTGTGACATTTTGTTCTGATGCAGTTGAGGTTTCTTTAAACAAACCACATTCCTCTGGGATATCCCATTGCTCTGTCTTCTTTGGCATGCTGTCTTGGGTTGCTCATCCATTGGTGTGAGTTTTTAGCACATCCTAGATACTGGAATTTGCCTGATGCTCTGGCTGTTCTCTAGGCAAGTGCAGTCTTTTTTTTTTTTTTTTTTTGAGATATTATAGGATCTCACTCTGTCACCCAGGCTGGATTGGAGTGGTGCGATGTCAGCTCACTGCAGCTTCTGCCTCCCAGGCTCAAGTAATCCTTCCATCCTCCCACCTCAGCCTCCCGAGTAGCTGGGACTACAGGCATGTGCCACCACACCCAGCTAATTTTTTTTTTTTTTTGGAGACAGAGTCTCGCTCTGTCACCCAGGCTGGAATGCAGTGGCGCAATCTCGGCTCACTGCAAGCTTCGCCTCCCGGGTTCAGGCCATTCTCCTGCCTCAGCCTCCCGAGTAGCTGGGACTACAGGAGCCCGCCACCATGCCCGGCTAATTTTTTGTATTTTTAGTAGAGATAGGGCTTCACTGTGTTAGCCAGGATGGTCTTGATCTCCTGATCTTGTGATCCGCCCGCCTCAGGCCTCCCAAAGTGCTGGGATTACAGGCGTGAGCTACCACCGGCCCCATACACAGCTAATTTTTGTATTTTTTTGTAGTGATGGGGTTTTGCCATGTTGTCCAGAGGGGTCTTGAACTCCTGGGCTCAAGTGATCCACCTGCCTCAGCTACCCAAAGTGCTGGGATTACAGGCGTGAGCCACTGCGCCCTGCTGCAAGTGTGGTCTTGCTGAACAGATCACAGTCTGGCCAACTTCAGCATCTCCCTTGATTCTCACAGTTTCTGCTCTAACAGTGAAACACTCCTGTTAATGACAAAACTACTTAAAATTCTCCTGATTAGGTATTACAGAGTTATGCCAATAGTCAATTTGCTTACTCATACTGATTGTTCATTATGTAAAGTAAAATGACAACTCTTTTGATCAGTCCTATGTTGCATGAAACTGATGTTCTGAAATTAACTGAGTCAATCCTATAATTATTAATGTAATTATTAATTGAGAGTGACTAAAAACCATCATTTCCCATAGCCTTTTAAATGTTCTGCAATCACATCAGGTGCTTCTATAAAGAAGAGAAACGGCCTTCCATCTCCTTTTTCTTCCCTTAAAGCAACGATGTAGACATCCTCCACTGGCATTCTCAGAGTGCTGGAGTCAGCATTTGAAAGTTGATACCGTATTGGCAAATTTTACTGATAATTATCTATGGCTTAACTTTGATTTGTATTAAGAGTGAAGTTGGAAAATGTGTTTTAGGCTAGAACTTCAGGGCCATGTAAAGAAAATGGAGTTAATTTGAGTGATAAGACTATATTTATTTCCATTAAATTGATATTTAAGTTTTTATTTTATTTGCTTTCTTTTCCTCTCAGCATTATGGGGACTGCATATATTAGACTTCTATGCCATCATCATTAAGGCTGTGCTTTAAGCCTCTGTGTGGGCCAAGGTACTGAATAGTTTCTGTTTGCCTCCCTAGAACCACACTCTTCCTTACCAGCCTGTCTCTTGTTGGAGGCTGGGAGGCTGACCTGTATAGAGTACACCTGTAGGCTCCCTTGCTTTCTGGCTTTTGGCTGCCTTCAGCTTGTGGGGTACACCACACGAAATGGGAAGCAAGAGAGAGGTTGTAGTCCTTATTCTTGTTGTTCTTTCCTGCGAGGTCATCTTAGCCTAGCTGTTTTCCCCTGATTAAAGGTTATGTCTCTAGCTTGCTCTCTTTGGGTTTGGGTAGGGTTAGAGACTTAAAGCTTCCAGCTGTTACTAACCCTGGGGTACTGCACAATGTCTTGGGGTTTTCCTAAGTGGTGTGCTGGAGCAGGCTGCAATTGGCTGGTTCTACCTCTTAAGATCTGATTATGTGCATCTGTTCCTTATTCTTGGTTCAGGAACTTCACTTTGGAAGCTTGAAAACTGCTTATACCAAGGTGCAAGGTATTTACACCTTAGAAATTGGCCAGTGTTATAAATCGGGACTCTTTTCTTCCCAGAGTTAGCTTGCTAACACACTACTGCCTATACCTCTCCCACACCTTTGTAAATAGTTCCTTTATTAAACATTCCTCAAATTACCCATTGAGTATGTCATATTTTGCTGCCAAGACCCTGGCTGAGAGAGCCAATTACTTGTTCTTTGGATAAAGTGGTCTCTCTCTCTCTCTCTTTCTTTCTTTCTTTTGACCGAGTCTTGCTCTGTCGCCAGGCTGGAGTGCAGTGGCGCGATCTCGGCTTGCGATTTCCCTGGCTTAGCCTTCTGAGCAGCTGGGACTACAGGCACCCGCCACCACGCCCAGCTAATTTTTCATATTTTAGTAGAGACGGGGTTTCACTGTGTTGGCCAGGATGGTCTTAATCTCCTGATCTTGTGATCTGCCCGCCTCGGCCTCCCAAAGTGCTGGGATTATAGGCATGAGCCAAAAGTGGTTTCTTAACATTTTGTGCAGACCATTCAGTCATGGGGGTGAATTTGGTGAGGGGATGTGCACTTAGGTACTCCTTTCAACACACAAAAACACCTGTGTTCTGTCTGAAGCAGGCAGTATGTGCCTGCCCTTGCTTTTCAGTTCAGTGAGTTGGTTACCTACAAGCTCGATAAAATACTTTCATGTTCCATTTCCATCTTTTTTCATCATTCAAGAATGAGGAAATAAGTGTGTATACTGCATTTGCTATTTTGAAATGATAGCTGATACTTTTTAAATGAAAAAGAGCTCCTAAATTCTAGTCACTCTCCTGTCAGATGAAATTCTCCTTTATGCTTTCCCACCTGGCTGGAACACTCCGGGACAGTGCTCCAGCCTGACTTCATTGAGTGGCCACTTTCCTCATCTTCTCTTCATTTAAAATGTCTCCTCCCCTCCAGCTTCCCAATCCCTACCTCTCACGTGTCCCTAGTAACACCATATTTCCGGGTTTCCTGGTTTTCTTCTTCTCTTTTTGTATCTCCCTCTGGCCTTTGGTCTCATTCTCTCCCCTCAGTCTCTCATGTCCTCTCCTCTCCTGGTCTTTCACTCCCGCGGCTCACTCTCTCAGTCTTGCTATTATTGGTCTCTTGCTCTCGGCTCATGCTTTTGTACTCTGTGGGCCTGGCCTTTGCCCCATGCCCTATGTCCCTTCATTCCCTCGCTCTCTCCTCTCCTTTCTCCATCTGTCTGTCTTCCTGCCTGTCTCTGTCACTGTCTACCTTTAGTCTGTGTCACCGTCTGTCACCGTCTTCCATCTGTCTTCATCACTGTCTCTGTTTTTGCTGTCTCTGCCACTGTCCATGTCTCTTTGCTGTCTGTCTCTGCTGTCTCTGCCTCCACCTATCCATATCTGCCCATCTGCCTGTCTTTCTGTCCAGTTCTCCCTTCAAATGGCCTCATAGATGCTCCCCTGTGTATCTGAGCTCCCTGTTTCTCTCTCAAGACCAGTTTTCTCCATTTACTCACCTTAGAAACAAGGTGGTCAAAGATACCTGCTCAACTCTACAGATCTCTCAGCTTTAGTGTCTGAGTTTTGTTCTGGGGAGAGAATCTTATTGGCCCAGCCCTGACTATTGGTTGTTTGGCCAGCGGTCCACTCCAGGCCTAGTTTTCTGTGACTGGGGCCTGGGTGGAGGGGGTAGGACATGGAGTTTTGTGATATGTAGAGTGGGGCAGATAAAGCCATATAGGGAAACTGGGCATAGCTTAAAAATGGACAAGTGTGTCCCCTACACTCCTGCCATGCCTGGGACAGAGTAGATACTCAAATATTTGTTGTATTAAACAAAGCTGTTCTGAGATTCCTCCCATTCACTCTGGTGCTATACCCTGTCCAAGTCTTTTTTGTTTTTAATGTTTCTGTTTTTTTCTTTATTTCTTCTAAAAAAAAAAGGATACATATGCAGAACGTGCAGGTTTGTTACATACATATACATGTGTCATGGTGGTTTGCTGCACCTATCGACCCATTCTGTAAGCTCTCTCCCTTCTACCCCCACCCCCAACAGGACCTGGTGTGTGTTGTTCCCCTCTCTGTGTCCATGTGTTCTCATTGTTCAACTCCCACTTATGAGTGAGAACATGCAGTGTTTGGTCTTCTGTCCCCAGGTTAGTTTTCTGAGGATGATAGCTTCCAGCTTCATCCATGTCCCTGCAAAGGACATGATCTCATTCCTTTTTATGGCTGGATAGTATTCCATGGTGTATATGTACCACATTTTCTTTATCCAGTCTATCATTGATGGGCATTTGGGTTGGTTCCACATCTTTGCTATTGTAAATAGTGCTGCAATAAACATGCATGTGCATGTGTCTTTATAGTAGAATGGCTTATATTCCTTTGGGCATATACCCAGTAATGGAATTGCTGGGTCAAATAGTATTTCTGGTTCTAGATCCTTGAGGAATCGCCACACTGTCTTCCACAATGGTTGAACTAGTTTACATTCCCAACAACAGTGTAAAAGCGTTCCTATTTCTCCACAGCCTGGCCAGCATCTATTTTTTCTTGACTATTTAGTAACCACCATTCTGACTGGTATGAGATAGTGTCTCATTGTGGTTTTGATTTGCATTTCTCTGATGATCGGTGATGTTGAGTTTTTTTCATATGTTTGTTGGCTACATAAATGTCTTATTTTGAGAAGTGTCTGTTCATATCCTTTGTCCACTTTTCGATGGTTTTTTTTTTTGAGACGGAGTCTCACTGTCGCCCAGGCTGGAGTGCAGTGGCATGATCTTGGCTCACTGCAAGCCCCGCCTCCCAGGTTCACGCCATTCTCCTGCCTCTGCCTCCCGAGTAGCTGGGACTGCAAGTGCCCGCCACCGTGTCCAGCTAATTTTTTTGTATTTTTTTAGTAGAGACGGGGTTTCACCGTGTTAGCCAGGATGGTCTCGATCTCCTGACCTCGTGATCCGCCCACCTGGGTCTCCCAAAGTGCTGGGATTACAGGCGTGAGCTACCACGCCTGGCCGGGGTTGTTTGTTTTTCTCTTGTAAATATGTTTAATTTCCTTGTAAATTCTGGATATTAGACCTTTGTCAAATGACTAGATTGCAAAAATTTTCTCCCATTCTGTAGGCTATCTATTCACTCTGATGATAGTTTCTTTTGCTGTGCAGAAGCTCTTTAGTTTAATCAGATCCCATTTGTCAATTTTGGCTTTTGTTGCAATTGCTTTTGGCGTTTTTGTCATGAAGTCTTTGCCCATGCCCATGTCCTGAATGGTATTGCCTAGGTTTTCTTCTAGGGTTTTTATGGTTTTGGGTTTTACATTTAAGTCTTGAGTTACATCTTGAGTTAATTTTTGTATAAGGTGTAAGGAAGGGGTCTGGTTTCAGTTTTCTGCATATGGCTAGCCAGTTTTCCCAGCACCATTTACTGAATAGGAGATCCTTTCCTCATTGCTTGTTTTTTTCAGGTTTGTTGAAGAGCAGATGGTTGTAGATGTGTGGTTTTATTTCTGAGGTCTCTGTTCTGCTCCATTGGTCTATATGTCTGTTTTGGTACCAGTACCATGCTGTTTTGGTTATTATAGCCTCGTAGTGTAGTTTGAAGTCAGGTAGTGTGATGCCTCCAGTTTTGTTCTTTTTGCTTAGGATTGTCTTGGCTATATAGGGTCTTCTTTGATTCTACATGAAATTTAAAATAGTGTTTTCTAATTCTGTGAATAATGTCAATGGTAGTTTGATGAGAATAGCATTGAATCTATAAATTACTTTGGGCAGTATGGCCATTTTCATGATATTGATTCTTGTTATCCATGAGGATGGAATTTTTTTCCATTTGTTTGTGTCCTCTCTTATTTCCCTGAGCAGTAGTTTGTTCTCCTTGAAGAGGTCCTTCACATCCCTTGTTAGCTGTATTCCTAGGTATTTTATTCAGTTTGCAGTGATTGTGAATGGGAGTTCGTTCATGATTTGGCTTTCTGCTTGCCTATTGTTGGTGTAAAGGAATGCTTGTGATTTTTGCACATAGATTTTGTATCCTGAGACTTTGCTTAAGTTGCTAATCAATTCAAGAAGTTTTTGGGCTGAGATGATGGTGTTTTCTAAACATAAAATCATGTCGTCTGCAAACAGAGACAACTTGACTTCCTTGAAATAACACAGTAGACAAATGTAAAGCCAACTTACCAAAAAACCCCTCTTTTTCTAGTACTCATTAATATTTTTGTATTGCTTATTTTGAGTCACTTTTTTTGAGTTCTGAGAATGATATTTTTTGTGTTATTCAATTATGGTCTAAGACTTTTTGTTCAAATTGTCTATAATATATATAGATGTGCATTAAGAAATTATTAAGACTGTAAAAATGAGAATAAAATCTATTGAATCAGGCCAGGCATGGTGGCTAACACCTGTAATCCCAGCATTTTGGGAGGCTGAGGCAGGTGGATCAGCTGAGGTCAGGAGTTTGAGACCAGCCTGGCCAACATGGTGAAATCCCGTCTCTACTAAAAATATAAAAATTAGTTGGGCATGGTGGCATACACCTGTAACTCCAGCTAGTAAGGAGGCTGAAGCAGGAGAATTGCTTGAACCCAGGAGACAGAGGTTGCAGTGAGCCGAGATTGCACCATTGCACTCCATGCTGGGGGACAAGAGCAAAACCCTGTCTCAAAAAAAAAAAAAAAATGTATATATATAATCAATCAATTCAATGGATTGATTAATCTATTGAAACATTTTTAAACAATTGATTACACAAATATTTCTTAGCAGTAATTCAAGATATCACTGATCTCTTATTTCTTAAGTAAAATATCATTCAGTAATAAAAGTCTCTATATTTCAACACATTTTCATTCTCTTCCATACTTCTTGTGAAACTGGTTCATCTGTTTTTATTGTTTTAAAATTAATTTGATGCTGAATGAAGATGGAGGTCATGCTTTTGAAATCATGTACTTAGGGGTAACTACCCAGTAAATGAGGTATTTGAGTTTGCTTTTGAAATTGAAATCTCTCTCTCCATTGTAATTTACTGACTTAATAAAAAATGTATTTCTGTAGGATATTAAGATCAGACAGAGCAAATAACTATTGAATCTCTTGAGAGTTCCGTTTGTTTTCTGCAAAGATTAGGCCTTTGGCAATTTAGAAGAGTCATTTTCATGAGACTTTATTGTTGAAAATCACAATAGAGCCACAAGATGACTTTTGCTGATGTTAAGATTTTAGATGTTTTATTTGGGTATATCATACTGATTTAATTTCTTGTTTCTCATTCCATCCTCTCCATTCTCCTAAATAACCTTGATCTGTCTTTTTTTTTTGAAGTAATTTCTGGTATGGATTTTATTTAGGTTCAGGTAAATCAAACTATTGTTTTCTGGTCTTTGTCTAGTGAAAATACACAGCACTTATTCTCATCATTTATCTCAATCATTATCTTTCAATTCTTTAATTATTCTAAAAGAAGGAAAGTATACTTTTACTCAAACTTGCTTTTTTTAAAACTTTTTTGAGATGGAGTGTCCCTCTGTCACCCAGGCTGGAGTGTGGTGGCACGATCTTGGCTCACTGCAAGCTCTGCCTCCTGGGTTCACACCATTCTCCTGCCTCAGCCTCCTGAGTAGCTGGGACTACAGATGCCCGCCACCATGCCCGGCTAATTTTTTGTATTTTTAGTAGAGATGGAGTTTCACCATGTTAGCCAGAATGGTCTCCATCACCTGACCTCGTGATCTGCCTGCCTCGGCCTCCCAAAGTGCTGGGATTACAGGCATGAGCCACCGCGCCCGGCCTCAAACTTGCTTTTTGTAAGAGTACTGATATCCTTAGAAATCTATAATTCTATTTCCAAAATGTCAGGAAGACATGTGCTCTTCTAAGTAAAATATCTCAAGTTATTAGACGTGTATTGTGAAATACTTACTGTAGCCCTCCAAATAACCAGTGTTGGCAGGGAACAGTACACTTGTGTGAACTGCGAGCTGAATGTAGCTTTTATCTGCGTAATTGCCAAACTGAGTCACTTTTCTAAGTCATTGCTTCAGTTAGTTTTTCCTTTGTTATTTGTCGTAATTTTGATGAAAAGCAATTTTTAATAATTTCTCTTGAGAATATCTCTGTGTTATGCTTTATGGGCAAATGGCAGACTTGGAATGATTTTGACACTTCTGACTACTGCAGTGTAGTTTGGCTCATGCCTCATCAGTTGGAGAAACTTTACACAGTAGGGGGAGGAAGGGAGTCTTTTAAATTTTTAGAGAATGTTTGTTTTATGCTATGAACCAGAGGAAAACTATGTGGGCTGAGGAAGGCTGAATTTAGGAAACCTTACACTTAATTGCACACACTCTTGCAGCTATAGACCCTTAGGGGGTAAAAAAGCATCAGAAGGCGGCAGTAGAATCTGGCTAATTTGCATCAAAGACTTGGGACGCAGGGGAACTTTCAGATGAGAGCCAATGAATAAATCATGGCAAGGGCAGCCAGGTTGAACCTACACATTTTACTGAACAATGTAGGAAGGACTTGATAAGTTCAGAAAATACAAATTTGGAGGCAGGTTTGATGCTTCAGAATGGGTTATTGGCTGATTGGAAGTTACATATTCTACTTGTAAAAGATACATATATACACATACGTGTGTGGTATGTGTGTGCATCAATAGCATATTTGTTTTCAAAGACACATTTAGGCATTTTCCCCATATATAAATGGACCCACCAATATGTGATTTATTTCTATTGTTGACTCATTTGACAACATGGCACATTTTAATATTAATACTGCACATCACATCATATCCCAAATCCAAACAATTCCATTGAGCAAAAGCCTGATACAACATGGTTCACCTGGAATTAGGGTATTACATTTAGAGGGTGTTTCTGCTGTTTTTGAAATGACCCAGGCTGCACAGAGTCCAGCATTTAGAGAAGTGATATTTCATGGTCATGACCGGTTTGATTACTCCATATGGATGCATGGCTTGCAGGTTGTGGGGCATCATCTGATTTGTTCTTTGTTATACATCTGATTACTTAGACAGTCATATTTTATTGCTGCCAGAAGCATGGAGATTTAGTTGACCCTGTCCCCCACCAGATCCACAGAGCTGAAGTGACTTACCTACAGCTCATTAGGGACAACACTGTGACTAGAATTCAACTTGTTATCATCCCCTTTCTTCTCACAAATGGTGCTCTGGGAAGCCTAGGGATTGCTGGGGAAGGGGAAGAGTAGATTAATAGAGTATCTTTTACCCCTCATTCTTCTATTGGTTTTCATTGTTGACTAGATTCCTCAGTTCTTCTCCATGTAATCTCAGGACCTCTTTCTCTCTAGGCTGGCTCTGGTTGCACAGTCTCCTTATGGCCTCTCCTGTAGCATGGCCGGACTTTTCACATGGAAGCTCAGGGCTCCCAAGAACACAGGAGCAGAAGTCACCAGATCTTAAGGCTTACACCTGCAATGGGCACAGCACCAAGTCTACTGCATTCTGTTGGTTGAAGCAAATCATAGGCCACCCAGATGCAAGGGGGAGAGAGCTACACAAGGCGTGAATGCAAGGAGGCAGGGCTTATTGGGGGCTACCAATATAATCTTAACTGGTTATAATGAGGCTTTGACTGTATTACCTAACATAGAGTAGGAGACCTGAGATGTGTAAGTGTCTGGTCTTCTCCACATACACACAAAAGAAAGACAGTGAAAAGAGCTTACACAGCATCAGCAGTGTTCTAAAAGTGGCCATATTGCCTCTTCCTCTGAAGGTATTCATAAAGGGTCTCACCAGTGTGATTCAGCAGTGCTAGGAATCAAGAAAGTGGGTGACCTCTCAATACCCTTGGAATCTTGGAGGTTTGATTCTTATTAATGTGCTGGAGCCCATTTTACTCTCATTCCCTTCAGATTTTTACTCAATGGAAGACTGAAGGAGCCAAATGAGGGTCAAAATACGGAATCAGCTCCATTACTATTATATTGGATTAGAGAAGATAGTGGTGCCATTTGTTTCCCTTCTCAAGCTTATACCCTGGCTTCTAGACCATGAGTTACTGACCTACTCCTAGGCTAAGAAGCTGAAGTTGAGCACAGGTCTGGCAGGGCCTGTCACAAGTATTATAGGTTCTGAGTACCACAAGGAGACAAGTTGCTCAAACCCTCTCTTTCCCCACCAGGCTGGGGCATAGGCAAGTATGACAGACCAAGACAAACAGAGTGATTCCTCTTGCTCTTGATGTAGCTACCAACAGTTTGGTCCGTCTGATTATGAAGGTAAAAGTGATGGGGATGAAAAGGGGGACAAAAGAATTCACCCCAATACTTCTTCTATCTAGGGGTGGGTGGACACTCCTTTCTCTCAGTGGAAACCCCAGGTGTGGAAAGGTAAGTATTGCCTGCATAAAAACTCTTTATCAAAATAGAGCTTTGAAATGGTGCTCACTCCTACCAAACTCAGAGTACTACTAGGACTGTGAGGGCATTGAAAATTTGCAAGTTGTGGCTCTGCTGATTCCATTAAAGACTACTGCAGAAGTTATATTGTTAAGAGCCTTGGCTTTGGTGTTTGTGGTAGTTAATTTTATCAGTGGGCCATGGCGTGCCCAGATATTTAGTCTAACATTATTCTCAGTGTTTCTGAGAGGGTGTTTTTGAATGAGTTTAGCATTCCATATAAATTTTAGGATATTTTTTCTATTTATGTGAAAAATGTCATTGATTCGTTTGTTTTTATAGAGACAGGGTCTTGCTCTGTTGCCCAGGCTGGATTGCAGTGGCATGCTCATAGCTCACTGCAGCCTTGACCTCTTTTGCTCAAGTGATCCTCCCACCTCAGCCTCCCGAGTATCTGGGACTATGGGCACATGCCATTGTGCCCGGCTAATTTTTAAAAAGTTTTTATTGGAGACAAGCTAACTTTGGTGCCCAGGCTGGTCTCAAACTCCTGAGCTCAAGCAATTCTCCCACCTTGGCCTCTTAAAGTGTTGGGATTACACATGTGAGCCACCATGCCTGGCTGAAATGTCCTTGGAATTCTGATAAGGATTGCATTTAATCTGTAGATCACTTTGGGTAGTGTATTAGTCAGGGTTCTCTAGAAGGACAGGACTAATAGGATGTGTATGTGTGTGTGTGTGTGTATATATATATATACATATATATATATATAGGGGAGTTTATTAAGTATTAACTTACACAATCACAAGGACCCACAATAGCCTGTCTGCAAGCTGAGGAGCAAGGAGAGCCAGTCCGAGTCCCAAAACTGAAGAACTTGGAGACCGATGTTTGAGGGCAGGAAGCATCCAGCACAGGAGAAAGATGTAGTCTGGAAGGCTAGAGCAGTCTTGCCTTTTTACGTTTTTCTGCCTGCTTTATATTTGCTGGAAGCTGATTAGATGGTGCCCACCAGATTAAGGGTGGGTCTGCCTTCCCCAGCCCACTGACTCAAATGTTAATCTCCTTTGGCAACACCCTCACAGACATACCAAGGATTAATACTTTGCATCCTTAAATCCAATCAATTTGACACTCAGTATTAACCATCACAGGTAGTCTGAACATGTTAACGATATTAATTCTTGCTAGGTGCGGTGACTCATGCCTGTAATCCCAGCACTTTGGGAGGCCAAGGCCGGTGGATCACTTGATGTTAGGAGTTCGAGAACTGCCTCACCAACATGGTGAATCCTCGTCTCTACTAAAAGTACAAAAATTAGCTGGTCATGGTGGTGTGTGTCTATAGTCCTAGCTACTCAGGAGGCTGAGGCAGGAGAATTGCTTGAATCCGGGAGGCGGAGGTTGAAACCGGGATGCAGAGGTTGCAGTGAGCCGAGATTGCACCACTGCACTCTAGCCTGGGCAACAGAGCAAGACCCTGTCTCAAAAAAAACAAAAAACAAAAAACAAACAAACAAAAAACCAACTCCCACACCCCCCAAAAAAAGAATTATTAATTCTTCCAGTACATGAACATGGGATATATTTCCATTTATTTATGTAGGAGATTATATATTATTTGATATTTTGTCCAAGCAGTGGGTTACTTTGCTAATTATGTTTTGCTTAGCTTAAAATTAGGTTTCTGTTTACTGAGTGCAAAAAATAGTAAATAATCCCAGAGTCATTTATGTTTGGATGTAGAACGCCCATCTGTGTGCATTTGGCTAGAAACTCTGTGTCGCGTCACTTTAGCTCTCTTATTTGGCATTCTCAACCATGGGGAATATGGCCAACCACCTGGGGGAATTAAGAAACCTTGGCTAAGCAAAGTTGCTGTCATAGTGTCCTCGTACTGGAATTTATGTACTTTATTCAGGAGATTCCCATTTTCTCAGCCTGTTTATTCTTATGGCAGACGTACTTCTAGAGGCACGCTGGCAAATTTACTCAGACATACATAGGCTTATTTCTTTATTTTATTTAACAGATCTAATCTTCCCCTTTGCCATTCCCTCCCATCTTACTGAATAGCAAAGGGAATGTGGTTGAGGGGACTATAAAGTGGTATCTCGAGCTCTTCCAGTTTAAATAGTCTTTTGGGTAACTCAGTCTCTTCTGGGTGGGTTCAGATTGCACTTCTACCCACCTCATTGCTTCTAAGATGGTGTGTGGGGTGGAAACAAGTGGCCCTTGCATAGTATCTGGAGCCTCAGAGCCCTGGATGGAGAGCCCTATTTTTCCCCTCTTGTTCCTTGGGTCTCTGGCAATGGTCCCTGCTCTGCTGGTCACTGGGTGCTCAGCTGATATGTGGGGCTCCAGTCCACAGCTGGCGAACTTATGTTCCATTCTCTTGGATTGAATGAAACTTGGTACCTCTGCCCCAATCCAACACACATATTCTCTCTTTCTCTGTGTGTGTGTGTATGTGTGTGTGTGTGTGTGTGTGTGTGTGTGAGAGAGAG
The DNA here is from genome assembly GCF_000001405.40 of Homo sapiens. Lineage (NCBI taxonomy): Eukaryota > Metazoa > Chordata > Mammalia > Primates > Hominidae > Homo > Homo sapiens. The sequence goes on along the minus strand of NC_000001.11, from coordinate 211,113,966 downwards.
AGAGAGAGAGAGACAGAGAGAGAGAGAGAGACTTGATCTAATGTAGGCTATTACTGGCCTCCAGCTCATGTCTGATATTTGCCTGACTCACCGTCCTCCCCTGAACACCCCCACCCACCCCAGTTGATCCTAGGATTGGGTAGGTTGACATATAGCCCTTGGCTATAAGGTCAGCTCACTCCACTGTGATAACCATCTGCTTATTCAACTTCAGCAGCCACGGGCAGTTGGGGACTTCTGGATTCTTTCCAGACTCCATGGGAACTGAGGGAGGCTCAGGAGTGCTAACATGGCCAAGTTTCCTGTGCAGCTGATTTGGGTCACCCAGTGTGGTATTCTTCCTCACCCCTGAGTGTCAAATGGGGAGCCAGGCACAAAGTTTACCCTCTTCTCCCCTGTTCCTTCTCCTCTTCCATTGTATGGGAGCAGGACTGTTATAGAAATTGGCCAGCACACTAAGTTTTAAGAAGTAAAAGATGGTAGTCTTCAAGGAAGAGACCAAACATTGAAAAGATAGACAGGAGAACCCAAGCATTTAGAAGTGGGACAATGACTTCTACTCACATCAAAATTTCCAGAGGGCATCATTGTATATCAGAAGGCAGAATAACAATGTATGACTACAATAACGGTATTCATAGAAATGGTCTGATTTTAGCACCCAATGGCATAAGCAGACCATGTAATATAATGATTAAAAGCATAAATTTTGAAGTCACATAGACCTAGGTTCAAATCCCAACTTTACCCTGGTATAAATGGTTATTGTGCATCCTCAGAGACTCAGGTTCCTCATGAGTAAAATGATGAAATCCCTGAGACTTCCTTCAGTAAAGTAATAATTCTTCACAAAGATTCATGTAAAGGTTGAAAAAAACCATGATATATGGTAAAGTACTTAAAACAGTACCTGGTAAAGAGTAATTATCAATAAATGGTACCCATTATTATTAATATCTAAAATCTCACTTATGTGGAATCCCTTAATTCCTAATGATATATGTGGTGTTATGGTATTTATATGGGTAGCCCCTAACTTATAAACAGATTGTGTTCTGGAAGGTAATTTACAGGTCGATTATTTGTGGTTTAAAATAGAAGAGAACGTGCGTGCTAGGAATGGGGAAGGGATGGGGGAAGAATTTCTATACTGTTGGAGGCAGACGGCTTTGTGGCTGGGACTAGAAATCTTTCTTCCATTCTCTCTAACTCCTTGGGTAAAGAGGGAATTCCTAGACCTTCTATCATGGAGTGACAAGGGAATCTTGCTCCCTAGAGCTATAATTGCTTGCTTGGGTTAGTAGTGAGAGGAAACTATTTTGGAACTTTAAATTCTATGGTGAGAATCTTCTGAGTGGGTGATAGGCTGATGATTCTATTCCTACTGCACTTCCTATTTTTCTGTTTCCCTTACTAAAGTCAGAGAAGATGCTAGTGGGCTTGTTTTTTTTTTTTTTTTTTTTTTATTTATTTAATAAAAAGTAAACTTTAATGTCGAAAATGCAAACTTGGGGAGGGCAGAAAGATCACACACAAGGCTGTCACTTCATACTTGGAGAGTTGCACAGCGGCGGGGCAGAGGAGCTCCTTGCTTCCCAGACGGTGGGGCGGCCAAGCAGAGGCACTCCTCGCTTCCCAGACCCGGGCCCCGGGGGAGGGGTGGAGGGGTGGAGGGGGGTGGGCGGTGGGGGATGGGGCAGAGGAGCTCCTCACTTCCCAGACAGTGCAGCGGCCAGGTTAGGGGCTCCTCACTTCCCAGACGGGGCGGAGGCAGGCCAGAGATGCTCCTCACTTCCCAGACGGTGCAGTGGCGGGGCAGAGGCGCTCCAACTTCCCAGACGGTGAGGTGGCTGGGCAGAGGCGCTCCTCACTTCCCAGACAGTACAGCGGCCAGGCAGAGGGGCACCTCACTTCCTAGATGGTGCAGTAGCCAGGCAGAGGCGCTCCTCACTTCCCAGATGGTGGGCAGCCAAGCAGAGGTGCTCCTCACTTCCCAGACAGTGCAGTGGCCAGGCAGAGGGGCACCTCACTTCCTAGACGGTGCAGTAGCCAGGCAGAGGCACTCCTCACTTCCCAGATGGTGGGCAGCCAAGCAGAGGTGCTCCTCACTTCCCAGACAGTACAGCGGCCAGGCAGAGGGGCACCTCACTTCCTAGACGGTGCAGTAGCCAGGCAGAGGCACTCCTCACTTCCCAGATGGTGGGCAGCCAAGCAGAGGCGCTCCTCACTTCCCAGACTGGGGTTGGGTGGGGTGGGGGAGGGCGGGCAGAGGCGTTCTTCACTTCCCAGACAGTGCAGCGGCCAGGTTAGGGGCTCCTCACTTCCCAGACGGGGCGGGGGCCGGGCAGAGGCGCTCCAACTTCCCAGACAGTGAGGTGGCTGGGCAGAGGCGCTCCTCACTTCCCAGACGGGGCGGGGGGCCGGGCAGAGGTGCTCCTCACTTACCAGCAGTTTGGCGGCCAAGGAGAGGCCGTTCTCACTTCCCAGACGATGGGCGGCCGGGCAGAGGGGCTCCTCACTTCCCAGACGGTGGCAAAGGGTGGGGGCCGGGCAGAAGCGCTCCTGACTTCCCAGACCATGCGGTGGCCGGGCAGAGGTGCTCCTCACTTCCCAGACGGTGGGGGGGCCGGGCAGAGGCGCTCCTGACTTCCCAGACGGTGGGACCGCTGGGCAGAGGCGGTGGGTTTGGTTTTTCTTAGATGGGGCTGTAATATGCACACCAGGGACTGAGGGTATGCTTACGAAAGGATAAACCACTTTAAAAGGTTATCAGAACATTTTTGTGAGCACTTGCAGTGATATCTGGAGCTTGAAATCTATCTTGCTCTCATTTTTCAGTAAGTAAAAAATTTAATCAATAAATTAATCTTTTATGATTAAATTAATTAAAATTAAGTACATAGTTATTTTTATCAAAGTCAGTAAGTTCATGTTTACAAAAATCAAGCAGAAGAGCTTGTAATGTAATGTAAATAACCATTCTATGCCTTGTCCCTCCTCCCATCCTACTCACCAGAGGCCATGGCTTCTAATTTTAGCTTTCTTCTTATAGTTTCTGCCATGTCTCTAAATAACATGCATTAGAGCTATTTATAGATTTATCCATTCTGGATATTATCTGTTGACTTCTGTTAATTAGTTGAGGTTTTAGCTCACTTAATCTTACTCCCTACCCCTCCTCCTAATATAATTATATTACTCTCTTATTTATCTTTGCAACTTTAAGTAAAATATTTATACCATTTTTTAAATCAGCTGTACACACTATCTCTTATTTGCTTCATCATTGTTCTCTTTGCTCTCCCTAAACTTTTATCACCTGTATTTTTAGCATCAGAATCAATGAGATTACATTCAGATACTTATGATAATTAAATATTCCATCCTTTATTATGTATTGGTTTTAAAATTCAAAATTAATAAGGTGCTTACCTTATTCCTACAATGATGTGACCATGAGATTTTGGTTTTTGTTTTCCTTTGATGTTTCTAATTCCCTTTCCTGCCATACCTTTATTGATAATGTTGTTCTAAATGATCAAGAATATAATCAAATCCTAACCTCCTTTACCCCCAGATAATTCTCTTTTGGAACTTCTAGTCTCTGAATTGTTCAGTATTGAATACTGTCTACTAGCTCTCTTCCTTGCTTTCTACATTTGGAGCTATTTTTTCCTGGTTTCCATGTTGTCCTCCTTTTTGCTTTATTCCCTCATTTTGCTGGTACACATCCTCAAGTAACTGCCAAAGAAAGAATATGTGGTAAATAATTTCCCCTAATCTTTGCATATATGAAAATATCTTCATTATACACTCACATTTTATTGTTTTAATTTTAAAGAGAATGTCCTCTGGCCTTTTCTCATGTTGTTCTTTTTGCTGTTCCTCTTAGGGTATATGTTTTTCCTGTTGGACTGATCCTCATGTCTTTTTTTTTTTCTTCTCTGTTTCTTGTCTCTTTCTCTTTCTGTACTACTTTCTGTAAGACTTTATCTTCTAAAATTCATGTTGAATATTTAATTGCTATTCATTTTAATTTATAAGAGTTCTTGTTCCCTTATTTTTTTTTCCTCATAGCATTCTGTTTTTGTTTTGTGGATGTAATACTTCTTGAATCTCTCTAAGGATACCAATTAGATTTTTTTTTTAAAGTTCTTCTCTGTTTCCTATAATATTGCTGCTTCTTCCCCAGTTTTTTTTTGGTTCATTCTTTTTAACCTAATTTTCATTTTTGTGGATTTTTACATTTTTAATTTGTTTACTTTTATTTTACTGGGGTCTGGTATACAAGAGAAAATAAACATATGTGGTCAACTCATTATCTATAACTGGCTATTCTTCCCTCTTTCCGCATAGATAATCTCAGTGGAGCATTAGCCATGATAAAGCACACTCAGTTTTTCCTCCTGCTCTAGGTGTTTTGAGGGAAATTAACTACTATTTCAGGATTTAACAAGAGATGGTCAAACCAACTAGGCTTCATATACACTTGGGAGTAATTTAGTAAATACTGTACTACTTTTAAGTCTAAGCTATTCAGTTCAGGAAATGTGAGTTTATTCAGGGAGAGAAGACCAATATGAAGGATTATTCTGCCCCTACGATAAAATCAAAGCTCTCTGACTTTATTCATTCCAGATCCTTCCCAGTCTAGTCTTCAGTTACTCATCCTGCCACTCTTCCTGGCTGCCCTTTGTCTACCCTAGCCTGCACTGTGTTCCATGCTGCCATGCCTTTGCCCATGCTGGATCCTCTGCCTGGAATGTTCCCTTCCTCTCACACCCTCTTGAGTTCATGAAGACAGTGACCATATTTTAATTTCTATATCTATTGTTTTTGTATTATCTGTGCCAGTTACCTTTTAGGCATTCAAAAAGTTTAAATAAATCTTACTCATCCTTTTAGACTAGAGCAAGTTCAAATATTATCCCCTCTGAGACGCAGCCCTTTACCTCTCTCAGAGTTCATTGTTTTCTTACCTGTTTCTTTAGTTAGTTGTGGACATATCTATTTGTCTTGCTAAGTTCCTTGAGTGCAGGGACCATTTCTTATCAATCTGGAGACCCCCAGGGTCTTGCATTGTGCTTGGCACCTGTTGGCACTCAAGAACAATTTATGTATATATGGGAGAGATGGAGGGAAGGACTGGTTGTAGATTTTCATTAAAAGCATATTTATAAAAATAGTAGCTTTATAGATTCACATCATAAATGTTGTATTTTCTGTTCCTTTTAAATAGATCAAAGCATTCTCAAGAATAGATTGCTGTATTTAGTAATTCCTCCTCCCTTGCCCTCCTTTGTAAGGTCTTGGCTCACCACAACCCTTATCTCCTCTCAGGCCCTGTCTTCTTCCAAGTCTTTTGTCTTCAGTGGTGTCTGCATGAAGTGGAATCATTTTCCCAAGCCTGCCAAATCAAGAATAAACTCATCTAAGAAGGGTGGAGAAGCCTATCTGAAGGGATGGTTACCCATATTGTGAAAAAACTGTAAATGCTTTCAATTAAATGATGATATAATATATCACTATTATTTCACTCTATGTAGTATGTGTATACACACACACACACACACAGACACACATAATACCCTCTCCAGTTTACAACTAAAGAAGGCTGTTTGTATTGTTTCTGTTTTTGGAGGGTGGGGGAAGTGGGTGGGTCTTCTGTGGAAAGGAAGGGCCAAACTAAAATAATGATTACATTTAAGTTCTGGATGTTATTTGCTTAATTGAAATGCTTGAAAAGAAAGGAAGGACAGTTGATATCCTGAGCATAAAAAGTATTGACGACTGATTTTCAAAAATGTGGGAAGTAGTGAGAATACCCTAAGCTGGCCAAACACAACTAGCCTACCTAAACCCTGCATTATGAGTGTGTGGTAGGCTGCTGCTCTGTGACAGAGCCCCAAAATGCAGCTCTGTGGCTGCGTTTCAAAATCAGCAAGAATTTCAAAATTAGCAAGAAGGTCCTGTTGTGTGAGCATCTTGATCAGCCTCTACAAAGCTCTAGTATTAAGAGAGTCTAGTTACTATTCCTCACCAAGGGGAGGGTTCCATGGTGCTGTGTGTGTCCATGAGGAAGTGTTTAGCCTCCTTTCTGTGCCTTCCTGAGATGCCCTCCTAGGTTGGGCAAATCCTAGTTAGGGTCAAGAAGGCAAATTTTTAGCTTCTGGCCAAAAGACTGAAAAGGCTAAGATGCTGGACAGAGCTCAGAATAAATTACTTTTGGGCTCTCTCTTGCTCTGTAATATTGGTATACCTTCACTGGGATGAAAAATTAGGACTTAAATATGTCTCATGGGAATCCACTGAGTTTCTGCAGGATTTGTTGGTTGGTTGGTTAAGTATGCTTTCTTTCCTAACTTCTTTTTGGAGTACAGTGACCTAAGTTAGCACTTGCATTCAAGATATTCACTTCTAAAACAATGTTGTTTTATATTCCTTACAGGGCGACATTTCTGTTCAAGAGTCTATGTTTTGGAGGGAATCAGAAATATCTGGATTGCTTGACATTATTTATGTCCTCATTGAATCTCAACTAATGTGTTGCCTCATGTGCCCTTTTTTCCCTTTTTTTTTTTTTTAACAGATACTAATTTTGTGTTGGGGAATGCTCAGATAGTGGACTGGCCTATTGTGTACAGCAATGATGGATTTTGCAAGCTGTCTGGCTATCACAGGGCAGAAGTGATGCAAAAAAGCAGCACCTGCAGGTATTTATGTTTGGAGTTGTTCTGGTGAACAATCTATTATGGTATCTTTTGGAAAAAGAAAATGGTTTACTGCATTCGGGAATTGCCTTTACCTCATTTAGTGTGTATTCACAGGAAAATTTATTGCCATATCATCTCTAGTTCATGTACTGTACAGGGAAAATCAAAGCAGATGTAAAACATAGTTCCCACAACTGACAAACTTGCAGTCACTAAGATGGGAGAAAACCCAGAAGAACTCAGGAAAACCATTCTGTCTATAAAATGTGAACTCAAAAGTTACGGCATTTTAGATTAAATTAAATGTGAAAGTTAGAGGCTCAAATACAGTGAAATGAAATTTTAGATGATTAAAACCATTTTTGAAAATTTATGAGCATTTTAGAAGGGTAACTACAATGTTGGAGACAAGGGCCTTGTTCATAGAGCTTTTCCTCAGTCAAAATTCTTTTTTGTTTTGAGATGGCGTCTTGCTTTGTCACCCAGACTGGAGTACAGTGACATGATCTTGGCTCACTGCAGCCTCTGTCTCCTGGGTTCAAGCAGTTCTCCTGATTCAGCCTCCTGAGTAGCTGGGATTACAGGCACGTGCCACCACACCTGGCTAATTTTTTTTTTTTTTTGTATTTTTAGTAGAGATGGGGGTTTCACCATGTTGGCCAGGCTGGTCTCGAACTCCTGACCTTAGGTGGTCTGCCCGCCTTGGCCTCCCAAAGTGCTGGATTATAGGCGTGAGCCACCATGCCTGGCCTCAGCCAAAGTTTTTTACTTCAGAAAAAGATGAGAGAACCAATATTTTGTTGCCTTCTAATTCATGCTGTTACCTCTCTCTCTCTCTGAACTCTTAGCAAATTGTACTGACAGTGAAGCTGGTATATTTTTACAGGGTTTCTAACCAAGCAGTGTCCTTGGGCCGTGGTGTTAGAAAAGCTCTTTTAAAGCATCTTCCAGGTGTTGAGCCAGACATATAGCCTGGATCCTGCCAGACATTCCCCTGCTGTGCCCTGGCAAGGTCTTGGCCCACCATAGCCTTTTGGCTCCTCTCAGTCTCTGCCTTCTTCAGTCTTCTGTCTTCAGTGGTGTTTGCATGAAGTGGAATCATTCATGCCAAATCAGGAAACAAACTCATCTATGAAGAGTGGAGAAGCCTGTCTGACCAAGCATAGTCTTCTGTTTTCAGAAGTTGCATTTTTACTTACTAAGTCAGCCATGTCACTTTACATTATTTTAAAATAAAATACTCTTCTAAAATAAAATAAATGTTTGAGCTCATAAGAAGGAAGTATCAAATGTTTTGAAAATATTTCCACTTTCTTAAATCTTAGATTTTGGGGACTGAGAAATAGAAAATTGAAGATTCTTCCCTCAAATGTTCAAAGGTTTAGACATTATAATTCTTAATGTAATAGAATTATCTTACATTCTTTGTGTGCTGTTATCCTCTTAGGTATTTATAGATCTATTTGTCTGCATCTACATCTCTATCTGTCCTGCACATATATAATCAGAACAATTTGAGAGACATAGCTTCACTTTTTAGTGTGACTTGAACAGCCTTTCCTTACCTTTCTTATTGGCTATAATCAAACACTTTAAGGAAATCAGATAAAATAACTTGCTAATTTAACCAACTTTTCTTTTATGCACAGTTTTTAGCAACTTATTGAATTACCCGAAGGTATCCCTTCTCTATAAATGAACATACCTTTGTGCTAGCTATGTTCCTGATAGCTCAGGAGTCTCTTTTATTTATTTTGTGCGTTGTAAGCATTTGCAATCTGAGATCCAGGTAAAGGAAATTTAGAACTACTGGTAATCTACAGCCTGAAAAAGTACATAAGATGAATGAAAACTAGGTATAATTATAGTACTTCATTTATTTGAAGATTCAACTTTACAGGGATTTCTTTTACCTTGTTAAGGAAATTGCTTGCATATATACCATCACTTCATTTAAATGGAGGTCAGTTATCTAGAAAATTAACTCACAAGGAGAAAGAGGAAAAATCCTCTTATTCTCAGGCAGGGCTAAATTAGTCTTGATCTATTCTTCTTTCTAGAGATAATTTAACAAGCTCAGTTTTCCGTTTCCTGGCTTATAGACAAAGAGTACAGCCCCAAAGCAGAGAACTACATGAGTGCGTAAGGACAACCACAGATAATCACATTCCTCAGAGGGCTGGGAAGGGACATAAGATAACAACTGTGATACGGAATTCACAAAGTCAACAGCTAGGACTCTCTTCTTATTGGGTACCAGAATTTGGAAGCCTGTAGTAAGCCCAAGGCTGTTCTGGTATCAAGCTAAGCATGGTGCTTGACTTGGTGGTTCAGTTTTAGATCAGAAATTGCACTTGATAACCCCTGAGGTTCTTTGTAGCTCTGAAATTCTGTGTTTTTGTGATTCAAGTCATAAAAAAAGGTTAGATTATATTTACTTTACAGTGACATTTAGGAACCCATGGCAGTTTGTGCAATACCTAAGACTTGAGGAGTGATCATTGCTGCTCTTTCTTGTTATTGCAGTCTGAAGGCCTGGAGTGGGCAGGGGAAATGCTGGCTGGGCCCGTGGGCAGCCTTTGTCAGAGAACTGGACATTCCAGCCCCATTGAAAGATGTTTTTTTCCCCCTCCTCTGGCATTTTGTTAGTCTCCTGTGCCATTATTCATTCTACTTAATTGGAAGTATATCCTGTTCCCAGAGGGACAAACCATGATTTTTAGACCAGATTCAGTGTGGGGCCCAGGAAAATAAACAGTCCTGGCATTTTTCTTGCTTCTGGTGAGAACTAGTGTTAGCAGGTAGACCTTCTAGTATCCTGAGGTTTTCTCTAATAAATTACATGTACATTTAAATAAATGAATTTTTTTTTTGCTGAGAACTAGAAAAGGAAAAAAATCTATGGTCTAAACTTACTCAGCCATCTTTACCAGGAAGTCTCCCAGAGTTGTATTTCTAAAATGAAATCTGATTATGTTTCTCCTTTGCTTAAAACCCTCCCATTGTGCTCCCATTGCTTTCAAGATGAAGATTAAATTACTTCCCATGGCTTATAATGCCGTGGTCTCCTCCATGATCTTGCCTCTGTTTACTTCTCTATATTATCTGTTGCAAATTTCCCTCTCATTGTCTATATTTCAATCATACTGAAATGAACTATAATCAGGGTCTGGAATTAATCTGACTGTCACCTCTGTGCCTTTGCAGTTGCTTGTCTTTTGTTTGGAATGTTTTTCTCCTTCTTTCTCTCAGCCATTTCCCCTCCTTCCTGCCCCTTAGACCTAATCTGTCCTTACTTCTGGAAAGCATTCTCTGATCAACCAGGGAGTGCACTGTGCCTATTCTGTGTGTTCTGTAATTCATTATGTGCGCTGCCATTGTGGCAGTGATCACACTGTTCTCTAATCCACTGTTTTCTGATCTGTTTTATGGTGTGTATCTCTCATTAGACTGTTAGTTTTTTGGAGACAATGAAAAAGTCTTATTCACAGTTGAATCAGTAAATTTTTTTGAGTCAGTGATTGTTTTCATTGTGTGTGTGTGTGTTCCACAGTACATAGCACAGTGCTGAATATAGAACAGATATTTAACATATGCTTGTAGAATAATGAATACTTCTTAATCTAACTTGAGTTCTTTGGTTGTTTGCAGTTTTATGTATGGGGAGCTGACTGATAAAGACACGATTGAAAAAGTGCGGCAAACATTTGAGAACTATGAGATGAATTCCTTTGAAATTCTGATGTACAAGAAGAACAGTGAGTATTGAGACCATTCTGAACCATACCTTTATGTGTTTGAAATAGTAAAATATCTCCTCTTCCTCTGTTGCTGTCTTGGTTTTTCTTCTCTCCCACCAGCTAAATGCTGTTACTTGAAGCCCTTGTGTATGTTGGGATGGATGATATAGATTGATCACTTACACTGTTTCTCACAGGAACATTTGATGAGGTTCTTGTCACTAACTAATTAAGCCTTCTTCATCTATATTGTTGTTGCTGAGACTTAGTGTTTTTTCCTATTGGTTTACATATGGTGAGTTGCTAGCTTAAGGCCCTTGTAGACTTTTTAACAAGGGAGGGAGAAGATGAGACAGAAATTCTGTCCAGTTCATCTTTGTATCTATCTTCCACAGCACTTAGCACAAGTAACACAGTGGGTGCCTAATTAAGCGTTTCTAAATAAAAGTTTGTCCCCAGTATTAACAACAATGCATTGTTAATTTGTATTTGTTTTTGGCTACAATTACTTCCACAAAGTATGTTAATGAGGTTTTAGGTCAGTAGCCATACAGAAGTATAAAACTTGCTCTTCCCTTAGGAGGTTTCCTGTTGGAGATTAGCTGTATTAGAAGTATGGAAAGTAGGGCATATGGGCCTAGCAAGGCTGCATGGGTGTTAATAGTGGTTTGTTTCTGTTTTTTAAAAACACTAGTTTTGTAAGAAGTCCTGTTCTTTATACGTAGGATTGACTGGTAGGAAATTGATTCAATTGAACAACTCCGGGGTGGTCCTTATGGCACATGAGGATAACCGTTTAATTTGGTGGCATTCAGGTTTGAGTGATATGTTTTGCCCTGGAAAGTAAAGGGCATGCGTTGTTTTTATCTGGGAGGGGCTGGGATTTTTTTTCAGGTCTGCGGTATTGGAGTAGGTGACTGAGATTACTGTTCGCTTGGTGGTCTGTGCCGATACTGGTCTGAGAGATTTGCACTGGCCATCCACAAGCCCAAGAGGGTTGTTACCAAAGCTTTCACACTGGATTTGTTGCCTTGCTCCAGTTCACTCCCTCTGCCAGCAGATCTAGTTCCCACCCCACTATTAGCTAGGAGAGGAACGAAGGGAAAGACTGTGAAGGGCTGTATGCCAGTCTTTCCACTATAGGGGAACACAACTCAACTCAAAGCAACAGCTCGTACCAGAAGCATACCAACCGTGGCTTTCTCATGGGAAAGACATGGTCTGCACATGTGTCATAAACTAATGGAATAAGTTAAAAGTTTTCCACGTTGGCAGCACTAATAATTCACTTGCCATTGGTTTCAGTGAACATATGCCCCAGAGTGAGTTTGAGATGCGAGAGGGCAATCTGCCTTTTCCTAGCTGTCTCTGGGGCTGAAGATCCTGTATTATGAGGATCTTACTATGCTGAAAGTGATTGATTCTGATATTTGAAGATCTGTACTTTAGGTAGACATGAACTACCCAGGTAAACCAACTAGATCAAATGATGGGCTACCAAAGAATCAGCATTTCTTCCCTCCCTGAAGGTTGTGGTAGGCTTATTGAGAGTCTCCAAAGTGGCATGTCAGCCTGGGCATCAGGTTCTACTTTATGGGTGATACTAAAGCATTTTCAAGAGTAATTATGGTCATATACAATTTTTACTCTAGCTTTTACCTTTAGAAAATAAGCTTTGTGTAAGGCATGACTGTATTTTAAAATGTGAATCTCTAATCTCTGTGAAATAGGCACAGCTGAAAGTTAATTCCTCATCTGAGGTCATGTAGCACCAGGATTAGTTTCCAGTGTTTGCTCCACGGCCATTCTCAGTTTTATTGTGAGTACAAGGCAGGGCTACCACATGAAGTCGTGCAGGCTATACCCTGCTTAGGGGGAAGTGGAAACCAGCTTGTGATTTGCTTGCTGAGTCCTCCATGGACCATGGTCTGGAATTGCATCTGTGCTGAGGAAGGAGTTTCTCTTTCTAATTCACACAAAGATGACTAGTGGGCCAGTGGGGGCTCTGGACAAGGCTAAATTTGTACATACAACATGAGCCATGAAACTAAGGAAATGATGCAGATAATGTTGTTTTCTTCCTAGGACCTGCTTACTACCTCCAAATCCCACCCTCTCTTGAGGAATTAAGAAACTTGAACTTATTTGTTAAGCCTGGAAATTATACAGTTGCACTGGATTCTGTGTGTGTGTGTGTATGGTTTTTTTGTCTTTCCAATAGCTTTTTATTGACCCACTACCCTATGGCAAACAGTAGGCTTGCTGCTAGGGATGCAAGTATGAAGAGATAGACACAGTGTCTGCTCTTACAGCATCTGTAGGGGAACGGGCAGCATCCACGGAACAGAGCCATAAGGGCTTTGATGGTGACACCACATAGGTGGCTCATGACTCCAACCTAGGGGGTCAGGGAAGGAAATCTTCCTAACAGGCATAAGTGCCATGCAGAAACTGGAAGGATAGAGGGGAGTTAGACAAAGATCAGGGCCAAGAGTATCCCAGGCTGAATGCATATGAAAAGGGCTGCAGCGGAGAGAGAGCATTGAGAGTTCAAGAGACACAAACCAATGCTTCTTAAACTTTGACATGCATAAGAACTCACCAGTGAATGGAAATGTGTATTTCTATGTAGAGGGTCTAGCAAAGGATCTGAGGTTCTGCTTCCAGGTGATGCTGATGCTGCTAGTCCACAGATCACACTCTGAGTAGCAAGGACAGAAAGCAGCTGTAGTGAAGACTGACTTCCGTGCCAACAGGGTGCGTCTCTTTCAGAGCTCTACCCCTTGCACCCAGCCCAGTGCCTGACACATAGAAAGTGCTCCACCCAAACTCATGGAGTAAATAAATATATAAATACATGAGGGGCCGGGTGCAGTGGCTCATGCCTGTAATCCCGGCACTTTGGGAGGCCGAGGTGGGTGGATCATTTGATGTCAGGAGTTTGAGACCAGCCTGGCCAACATGGTGAAACCCCCATCTACTAAAAATACAAAAATTAGCTGGGTGTGGTGGCGGGTGCCTGTAATCCCAGCTACTCGGGAGGGTGAGGCAGGAGAATTGTCGAACTCCAGAGGCAGAGGTTGCAACGAGCTGAGATTGTGCCACTGCTCTTCAGCCTGGGTGACAGAGAGAGACTCACTCTGTCTCCCAAAATGTGTGTGTGTGTATAAATACATGAGAAGTAATATGAGGTTGGAGAGACTAGGAAGGGCCAGTCACACGGCCAAGTTAAATAGTTTAGAATCTGTCTTAAAAGCGGTAGTGGTGGAGAAGGCGGTGGAGGTGAGGGGTGTTGAGGGATTTTAAGCAGGGTAAGTATGTCATCAGATTTCATTTTAGAAAGAGGGCTCTAAGCCCAGAGGTAGTGGCTCACGCCCGTAATCCCAGCTACTTGGAGGCTGAGGGAGGAGGATCGTTTGAGCCCAGGAGTTTGAATCTGACCTGAGAAACATAGCAAAATCCTTCTAAAAAAGAAATGAAAAGAAATATGGCTCCAGCTAGAGCGTGGAGATGGAATAGAGCTTAGTGAGCAGGAGGTAGAGGGGCTGTTAGGAATCCCTCTGACAACAAAATGATAGTGGCCTGGTCAGGGGAAGAGGCATTCAAACTGACAGGTGTCCAGGGGGCTATGGAGGAGATGGAGCGCAGGGCCTTTGTCAGTGGTGTCCAGTGATGGGCTCCTCCCTTAGTTTGGGAGCCCCAGGCAGAGCCCAGGAAGTAGGAAGCCCTGCGTTCCAGTCAGGAACTCATCATTTAACCTGAAGTAAAACTTGCTAGTGTCTGGCTGGGAGCTGACATTGAGGAGTGAGGAGGTGAATGTTTGCTGAGTGATTTTGAAAGGAACCTGATATTTACCAAGAAACAGGAGAGAAACAACATGTGATGCAAAGTGAGGGCGTCAGAGCCAGGGAGTGAGCAGGAGGAGAGGAGTCCACTGGGAACGGAAATGGGGCGGAGGGGAGGAAGGAGGGTTCATGTTTCTTTTCACATCTGTGGAGGTAGAGTTTGCTTCTACTTTCAAACTTCGCTGTTCAATAGAGTAAAACATTCAGCATTTTAAAGCAATATAGAGTTCTATGAGGGAAAAGTTCTTGTTGAGATTTTAAAAAGTGAAATATCACTATCTTGAAGTATATTTTTTATCTGATTTTTAAATTAATGCATTTTTACCATGATGAATGCATGCAAAAAATATAAAGAAAAAAAAACACCCAACAGACTCAGAGAAGTACTATTATACTATTAACTCTTTGATGTGTTTCCTTTTTGTTTTTGTCTGTGTACATTTTACATAATGGAGATTTCGACTTGTATACAATTTAAAAATCATATGTTTATTTAGTCTTTGTCACAAAAATATCCCCATTATTAAAATTCCTCATAAATATAATTTAGAAAGAATTTTATTAATGTTTCCTCTATTATTAGATATTTATGAGGCTCAATTTTCATTATTAAAAAGAATGCTGAGGTAAAAATTGTTATACAAATATATTTTGTTGACATTATGAAATATTTCCTAGAAGTTGAGAATTGCTGTGTCAAGGAATGTGAACTAAGGTTTCTGAGACATTTTGCCAAATAGCTTTCCAGAAGAACTGAACTCATTTCCAAGTCCTCATACAGAATGTGAGTGTCTAACTCATTATGCCTCACCAGCATTGAATAGTATAACTTTTAAATTGTCAAATTGCCCACAATTGTTTTTGTTTAATGAGCTTTTTAATGCTAGTGAGATTGAAGTGTTTTTTTCCTATTTATTATCCATTTAAAATTACCCTTTTAAATGTTAATTGTTCAGATTCTTTGCCTATATATCCTATTTAATTATAGGCATTTTCCCACTCATTTTTACAAGCTTTTAATACATTGTTTTAGTTCTTTTTTTCCCAGTCTCATTCTGTAGGGTTTGTAAGGACAACTTTGTAGAAAGGATCTTCTATTGATAAGCATTAATATTTGTCCTATCTTTTGGGGAGTTGAGAGTAATTAGCAGAAGGCTTCATGGTATGGTTTGGAATGAGTGTTTGGGATACCATTACATATGTTGAAGGACGGATTATTTGAAAGATTTCTATCTATTGGCCATTCGGAAAACCTGACATTTCTGGAGTGCTGTATATTTCGTATTGTTACTTGCCTAATGTTTAGTATGCTGTATGATTTTCTTTTCTTTCTTTTTTTTTTTTTTTCAAGACAGGGTCTGGCTATGTCGCCCAAGCTGGAGTGCAGTGGCGCGATCTCAGCTCACTGCAACCTCTGCATCCCAGGCTCCAGCCATCCTCCCATCTCAGCCACCCAAGTACCTGGGACTATAGGCACACACCGTCATGCTCAGCTAATTTTTTTTTGTATTTTTGTAGAGTCGGGGTTTCACCATGTTGGCCAGGCTGGTCTTCACCTCCTTAGCTCAAGCCATCCACCCATCTCTACCTCCCAGGTGGAGATTACAGGCATGAGCCACCATGCCTGGCCTGATTTTCTTATATCAACGACAGTTGTCATTAATGAAGTCATTCAGTAAATATTCCTGTGTTCACTCCTGTGCTACTCAATTAATTTTTCAATTTTTCAAACAAGAAAATCAAGAAGTATTAACCCTGAATAAAAGCAGTCAGTACATCCTCTAGACAACACTCCCCAGCATGTGACTCCACAATTTGTGGTGTGGCTGGCGGCCTGGAATCTGGGAGCTCTGGGTTAGTTTCCCAGTCAGAGAAGCCCAGGGAAAGGCATCTGACAGCATTTCTGCTGTGCTAGCAAGGAGAAGCTGCTGGCCAGGTACATATTGATTACCTACTGTAGGCTCAGCACTATGCCAGACCCGGTGGGTCACAGAGATATAGATGTAAGAAACTGACTCTGCCTTTGAGGAGGTTACAGTCTAGTTGTAGAGCCAAATCTAACAGGCAAAGCAATCATATTTTGCTTATTTGCTGAATGGGTTATCTTTTATTTATTCAGTGATAGGAGCTGCTTATATGTAATGAATATTGATTGTAAATCATAGACATATTGAAAAACATTTTTCTCTATTTAAACATTTTTTCTTTTAACTTTTTAAACTTTTTTTTTAAAAACCATTTAGAAGTGAACAAGTTTTATGTCAGCGTTTTCCTTTATGGTTCTGAGTTTTATATAATGCTTAGGAAGTTCTTCTCCTTACCTAAATAATAAAAATACGTTTCCTTTTTTTCCTTTTGGTAACTTTATAGTTGTGCTAAAATATTTAGAATATTAAACCATTTGGAATTTATTTTTATATATTATGTGAAGCAATAATCTAACTTATTTTCCACATTGCTTATTCAGCTGTCCCATTACTATTTATTAAATAATCCAGTTTTTCCTTTCTGATTTGAAATGCCCTTTTCTTTATATGCTAAGGTCTCACACATATGTGGGTTTGTTTCTGTCTTCTTCTCTAGGAACCCTCTTGTAATTTATTAGCTATGTGAGTTCGATTAGGATACTTGCCTACTTGGGTTCCCCACATTTGAAATGGGAATAATAGTAGCTATTCTACATTATAGAGTCATTGTGAGAAGTAAACCACAATGTTTCAGGGTCTGACCCCTTTGTAAGTACTCAATGAATGATATTATTTTTATTGTTTTTCTTTTGAGGCCTGTGCCAGTGACTCTTAATTACTATAGTAGGTAGTCCCTGTTATTATATTCCTTTCTAATAATTTCAAAGATTTATTGGCCATGCTTACACCTTAATTTTTCTGTTTGAATTAAATTTTAATTCATCAGAGTTAGAGGAAAAACAAATACAAAAACAGCTGAGACTGATTGAAATTACATTAGATATATATATTAGAGGGAGCGGTTTGACGTCTTATAAAATGGAATCTTACCTACAAACAATTCAACTCTCCATTTATTTAGGTCTTGTTTTATACTCATCAATGCAATTTTAATTATGTTGAGGGTTAAGTGTTGATTTTTCTAGTTTTGCCCTTGTTATATTTGAGACTGGCCCTCTTCCCTAAAAACAGGCAGAGGCAGTTTCAGGGTTTTGTTAAACAGTTTGAATACTTCCTGTTTTTAAGTCATTCAAACAGCCATGTGAAATGAGGTTGGGCATTTCCATCTTACAGGTGAGAAATTTAAAAGGAAGGAAGAAAGGAAAGTGATAGTTTTGGGGCCAGGCACGGTGGCTCACACCTGTAATCACAGCACTTTGGGAGGCCAAGGCGGGCAGATCACCTGAGGTCAGGAGTTCAAGACTAGTTTGGCCAACATGGCAAAACCCCATCTCTACTAAAAATACAAAAATTAGCCGGGTGCGGTGGTGGGCACCTATAATCCCAGCTACTCAGGAGGCTGAGGCAGGAGAATCGCTTGAGCCTGGGAGGTGGAAGTTGCAGTGAGCTGAGATTGCGCCACTGCACCCCAGCCTAGGCAATAGAGTGAGACTCCATCTCAAAAAATAAATAAATAAATAAATAAATAAATAAAGTGATACTTTTAAACACCTATGTCTCAGACATGTGGGTATTTTTACTTTATTTTAAGTAACTCTGTTATCCCCATTTTACAAATGAAGAGGCTGATGGTGAGAGAAGTTAAACTGATGCGGCCAAGGCTCCGAATAACTGAAGATAAAGGGCTCAAACTCAGGGCTTGGGACTAAGTGTCAGATGTTCTAATGGCCAGTGGCCATTACATCCCTCTGGTGCTGTCTCATCCTCTCTGTACTTGTCATTCATCTCCATAAAGTTGACCCCAGACCAATTGTTCTGTTTCCTGGGGTAGGCTACCATCCTCAAGTCTAGTTTCTGGACCTGTTAGAGGTCAACCCTTCCCAAAAGCCAATCACAGTGGCTTGGTCTGTTCCATTGCTGTCGAATATGGTCTGGATGCCCAGATGCCTGATTACAGAGAGTACTTGGGAGGAAGCCCAGGGTAGAAAAAAGATTGATGGAGGCCAAAAATTCTCTCGTACATCTGAGCCTTGCTGTTTTGTTATCTGGCTGCCAAGGCTGAGGAACCTCAAAGCCAGGTTAGGTTGTCAGGTTCATTACTACATGACCTAAGGGAGCTACATAAGGGATGAAAATCAGAGTGATCTAAAAAGGCTGACCTGGAACTGCCCTCCCATTGGACATCCTCATCCTGGAAAAAGCCTCCCTCCCAGCAGCAGCAGCCTCTGCCATCAGTAGGGTTATCAAGTGCTATGTTGTTCCTGGGTGTGTACATAGATCTTTCTTCAATAAAGGATTTAACATTGACCCGTTGTCCTTTTTGCAGTAGGACATCAAATGCTTACTTTTCTCAGTTTTTCCATAGTAGGCACTTGGGTAAGGAGGCAGAAATTTAACTTCTTCCTGATTTTCTGTGTATGTATATGAATATTTGCATTTATTGCCTCTCTAGCATCTTGATGGAATGGATCCTGCTGCAGAATTTGGGTTCTAGGAGAGACCCTTGTAGGCTACTTGCCCCAAGCTCTGTCTGCAGGAAAGTCAGTGTCTGAATGGAGCCAAAGGATACCTGAATATCCTCGGAGGGTAGAAGGGAAACTGGCTTGGGTGGAGCTTCAGGTTCCAGATGGTTCACGTTCACCTGAAGCAACTGTTTCATATATTGAATCTTTAAGTTATATTTCATTAAATAAAAATCCTTTGCTCTTAAGTGGAAAAGGTTGAAATACTGGTCTGTACCACCTAGGAGGGACTTATGTTCTCTTCTGAAAGAATTCCAGAAACGAAAATTTAAGCCCATTCTACTCACTTTCTTAGACTGTTTGGGTAGTGATAGTTTGGGACTGAAAACACTGGATGTAGGATTTATTTTTTTAAATTTAGCATTCCTAGAGCACCTAACCCACCAAGGCTGCTGTGCAGCACTCCCTGGAGTGGAGCGATGCAATGGCTTCACATGACCCTGTGCATAATACTACATTGAATGCCAGGAAGTAGGGGTGCCCGGTGGTAAGACAGAGAAAGTAGATCAGGTCTCTTGCCCTTGGAGTGTATTATGATCTATTTAAAGAAACAGTCGTTAGCTGTTAAGCTTTGAGGCAGCCAGTACATAACACTTAACTTCCCTGTCCATGATCAGAACCAATCGAGAGAGATAAAGGAATCAGGCCAATATAGCAGGGGTCCCTAGCTCCCAGGCCACAGACTGCTACCAGTCCATGGCCTGTTAGGAACTGGGCCACATAGCAGGAGGTGAGCGACAGCTGAGCGAGCATTACTACCTGAGCTCCACCTCCTGTCAGATCAGCGGTGGCATTAGATTCTCACAGAAGCGTGAACCCTATTGTGAACTGTATACGTGAGGTTGCCTGCTCCTTATGAGAATCTAATGCCTGATGATCTGAGGTGGAGCAGTTTAATCCTGAAATCATCCCCACCCCCAGTCCATGGAAAAATTGTCTTCCATGAAACCTGTCCCTGGTGCCAAAAAGGTTGGGGACTACTGCAATAGAGGATAAGATACTACTTTTATGACTAATAAAGCTGATGCTGGGGGATGTAGTTTATACCTGTAGGCAAGTGACTTTCTAAAAGTGAACCCTAGAATCAGACAGAGTTACCTGCAAGTCACAGGTAGTACTGGAGAACTGCAGGCTTCTCCTCCTACCAGCCATCCTTCCTGCCTTTTGCCTTCCCCCCTTTATAGGGTAGGGGAGCAAAGCAGAGAAGGGGCCAAGCTACACATATCCAGCTCTCGTCTCCCAGATTACCAACCAACCTAGGAAAAAGGTCCAGAGTGTTACACTGAAAGATGTTCTTCCACAGAGAAGCACCAGATCACGAAAAAGGAGGTCATTTCCCTCAAAAAGCCCCCATATTTAGCTCAAGATGAACTCTAAGGCAGTATGTCCTGATTGTATGAATTTTTGTTACAAGATATATATTTAGATACTGCAAAGGAATGGTCAGAGTAGTATGTGTTTAATCAGGGAACATGGCCAGGTGCAGTGGCTCATGCCTGTAATCCCAGCACTTTGGGAGGCTGAGGCAGGAGAATCACCTGAGGTCAGGGGTTTGAGACCAGCCTGGCCAACATAGTGAAACACCATCTCTACCAAAAATACAAAAATTAGCCAGGTGTGGTGGCATGCACCTCTAGTCCCAGCTACCCAGGAGGCTGAGGCAGGGGAATCCCTTGAATCCAGGATGTGGAGGTTGCAGTGAGCCGAGATCGTGCAGCCTGGGTGACAGAGAGACACACTTTAAACAAATGGACCTGTTAAGAGGGGAGAGTTCATTCGTGATAAGTTTGAACTGTGGACAAATGAAAAAGGCCTCCCAGTATGACTAATAAAATGGTTTTCATGATCTTGGAGAGGTGGCTTAGTGTCATCCACCCCTGTAGTCAAATGAAACATGAAGAATGAGCAAGTTCCCAGGCATCGGGCCCAGCCGGTGCAGTGCAGTGATGGGCTGCAGGGCTGCAGCTGGGAGGGGAGGGTTCTGGAGATTCTAGGAGTAGACATCATGAGTGGGTTCCTGTCATCTGATTTATTACTAATTGATCAAATTAGTAATACATCTGTCAAATTAGTAATAAATCAGATGACAAGAACTGACTCACGATGTACTCCAGCCTGGGCAACAGAGACACAGTTTAAATAAATTCACCTGTTAAGTGGGGAGTAATTAGCAGTATTTTCTGGTTTATCATCTGAAAAAATGCTGAAATTTTTTTAGAGCAAAAAAAAAAAGGTTTTTTTTGATTTGTGTGTTTTTGCCTTAACAGATAGGGTACAATTGAGAGCTGTGAGGATATAAGCTTAATTGCTGTGACACTTTACTTTGAGTTTTCTGTTGCTTAATTGAAAATGGTTTAAAATCCTGCAGATTCTGAGGAAAAGACTAGGAGGAATAGTAATACATACTTCCAAAAACAGTGAACAATTCAAAGGTCATATTCTTGACTTTGAAATGCTATTTGTGATTTTTATATGGTAGAATTTTCTTTCAAAACACTTCTTAAGGTGACATTATAATCTGTTGGTATTTGCAGAACACATAGAAACTGGCAGCTAAAAATTATGCAAAGAGAATGGAAAGAAGGTTAAAATTAACTATAGAGGAATACATAGATAATCAAGATTTAAGGAGAACACATTTCCGTTGGGTCTACTTGCTGCCTGTTTGTACATTTCAGGGTTATTACTACTGACATGTGAATAGGTGGTGTAGCCAAATCTGTAAAGTAGCTGTTGTCAAGCTAGATTGGCTAACTAAGCCTAATGTTAATCAGAGTTGTCTGTCTGTCCCTGGTGTTTAGTACAGAGTTTGATGTGATTGTGGACAGAGAAAGCCAGGTGACCTCTTGAGGATCTATTTTCGTCTCCAAGATTCAGTGAGTTTTCTGCTCTCTATCTCACAAAATAATATATGTAAAATGCTGAGCACAGTGCTGGCTACATAGGAAACTATTACTTAGCGTGGGGAAATAGCTACTTTATTTTGATTTGCAAATGGTTATAAAATAGTATGCTAAGTATTATTCCAGTTATGCAAAATTCAACAAATAGTTATTCAGTTCTGCTAGATGCTGTTGTAGGAACTGGAATATAAGAACTAGGAAGAAAAGAACATTGGATTGCTTTGTGTCTCATTTAATTTTGTATCATAGAATAAATTGGTGCTTCTTGCTGTGATGTCTTCTATGGCTAGAAGATGTTTATTTATTTTCCTTAATTATTTTTGGGAAGCCAGTGAGTGACTGTACAGATATTTGACTGTTGATACCTGAGTGGGTATCCTCTCTGAGAAGCCAGTCAGAATAGCCCTGCCTACCTCCTTCTGTGGATGAAGACAGTGCTTAGGAAGAACTCGTTTTTCCTCCACTCTAGCTCAGGAACAAGGATTGATATTGAAACACATTCACTGAGCTTCCTATGGCACTAATGTGATCGAAGCCCAAACCTGCTTGGAATCCTCCTTTTCTGGAGAGCTTTGTATGGGGGAATTATTGTGGTGTTCCTTTCCTTCTTCAATGCCTTGTCATTTACCATTGTATTGGATCTTTTAGATTTTTATTTTAAGGAGAGGGATGTAGAAATATAGTTTCTGGGCCGGATGCAGTGGCTTATGCCTGTAATCCCAGCACTTGTGGGAGGCCAAGGTGGGTGGATCACTGGAGGTTGAGAGTTCGAGAGCACCCTGGCCGCCTCTACTAAAAATACAAAAATTACCCGGGCATGGTGGTGGGTACCTATAATTCCAGCTACCTCGGGAGGCTGAGGCGGGAGAATCACTTGCACTCAGGAGGCAGAGGATGCAGTGAGCCAAGATTGCACCATTGTACTCCAGCCTGGGAGTCTAAAAAAGAAAAAGAAATATAGTTTCTGGCCCATGTGTGATTGGTCATGTGAGTCAAATTGGTGGATTCCTAAACTGGATTTTGACCCTGGGATCCTTTAGCAATGGATGAGGTTTGAAATTTGAGTTGGCATGGACTGCTGGCCATGGTTGGCAGGACCTATCTTGTCCCCTACTCTTTACTGTCCATTATGTGGTCTAAGGTAAGTCTTTAGGTCTTTGTACCTAAGTTTCTTCCATAACATCTGGTGGGGTTCTCAACCTATTTCCTAACCACTTTACAAGTTAAGAGATCAGCACTTGGAAAATTAGTTGAACAGGAGAAACCCCTCACTGAATAGTCACTGTGAAAGTTTTTATTCCAGCAAGAAAAAAAATTTATGGTGTGATAACCCAGCACTTGAAGTATTAATAAGACCATTTAAAAAATGAATTAATATTTGTACCTATTCATTCCCAAGTCTTTGCTTCCATAGCCCCTCAAATGAGAATGCAAATTACTGACCAACCTTTTGATATTCCTTTCAGGGACACCTGTGTGGTTCTTTGTGAAAATTGCTCCAATTCGAAACGAACAGGATAAAGTGGTTTTATTTCTTTGCACTTTCAGTGACATAACAGCTTTCAAACAGCCAATTGAGGATGATTCATGTAAAGGTTTGTAATTCTGACTTGTACAAATACATTTATGCCTTTTTTGTCTTTATTGTGGCTCTTGTTACAGAGCATTTAAGGTTGTCAAGGCAATCACTTTACAAACCTCAAGATTCTAACTTTAATTTGTATAGAGCAAAGCACTGTGTTATTCTGGAGTGTATCGGGGTAGGAGAAGGAGAGAAAAAACACTTTGTTTAGGAAAGCATTTGAATCAATTTCATACCTTTAATAATTAACCCTTTCTGATATTAGTTAGGCAGAAGAAGACAGTTTGGCAACTAGTATCATCAGAATCTTTTCAAGTTTTCACATAACAAATGTCAGTCATACCAATGAGGTGGTCTATGGCTACATTCATCTGCTTTATATATAAACTTTCTTAGATTTGACTGAATTCTGGCACTTCAAGATTGTTAAAGCGGACTTTAGCACATCTTTGCATCTGTGGTTGATTAAGTCTGTGACCGGTTAATTCATTTGGAACATAACATTAATGAAGCCAGGGTCCTAAGTAACATTTCTATATGGGTCATTTAAACAGTTGTGTGATCACAGATTTTAGCACTCGCCTCAGCCATATCATATGCATGTATTGTTTGCATAACATGGGGGACCCAGGAAAGGAGATGGCTCAGGATTTCTGGAACAACCGTACCCCTGAAGAGGTCCAGCTCATCAGGATATAAAAAAGATGGCATGTTAGTCCCAGAGGTTTGGGATAAGGGGGTGACATAGCACCTCTTTCACATCCCTCGTTCATAGCTCACACTCAAGATAACCAAGAGGCCACAAGCTTTTTCATGATGCAGTGCTACCTGGCTCTGTGGTTGATTTTTCAGCTCTGCTGGAGACCTCTGCTCCTTGTGGTTTTCTGAGATGTAGCAAAGAGATGAGAGTGGAGTCCAGGGGAGAGTTAAACTGAGACATATTATTTTTGGTGTGACAAAATTTTTGTTGTTAAATGAGCATTATAGGAGGAAATAAAAAGCATTATGTGGCTGCTCTCTCAAGGGCTGTGTCCTCTGAGGGTATTTAAAATCCTGGCACATTTAGACACTCACATTTATGGAGTTCAGAGCACAGTACTGTTAATACCAGCGCATCCTATTTTTTAAAACTGTCTGATAGCTCAATAAATCAATTTCAGCCTGCCTTTTGGTTTTAAGACTGCAGCAGATGCAAAGTCTCTCAACCAGTGTTTCAGCCACCTGAAGTCTCCCTTTTCTTACAGATTCATGATTGCCAGATTTCTAGTTTCTAATTTGAAGATTTCTCAGTGCAGTAGCTATTTCATGGCAGTAGGTTCACTCATGATTAAGTACCATCTTGTTACCATATAGAAAGGCCAGTTGCTTTTTTAACCTAATAAACTCATAAGTAATATTTTGAAGGCAATTGAATATTTTGACACCTATTTTTGCAATTTTTCTCTTAAAAACTTAAGTTATGTGATTTGGTTGAATCAAAATGTTTTGTTTTTATTACTACTGGAACATTTGTAGGTGATGTGCTGGTATTATTTAGTAGGAAAATCATACCTAACAGAATGCTCCGTACCTGGCATGTAGGTGCCTGCATTCGATGCTCATGAAACCTGAAGAGGGATAAATCAGAGTGATGTAGTGAGACTTAGGTTTATTTTCCAGGAATAAAATGCTCCACTTCATTTAACCTGCCTCAATGATGCATTTCTTTGCTGATAAGAGTTTTGGTACACACACATACATACTTACAGACACTCATGAGGAGATACACACACATTTACTCTGTTTCTTCTTAGCTGAGGGGACCAGATATTAATTGTTTTTGTCGGTGAAATAAATAGGAGTAACTTGTGGCTTGATTCATAAAAATTTGACACATACACACACACACGTTAGTCCTCGATGTAGGAATCCTGCTAGTAGACCACGCTTAATGTCTCCTGAAAGACATGGCTTTATAAGTCTATCATCTCAAATGCCATGGCAGATATGTTCAAACCTTCCCACTTGCCATGTCATCATGCCCCTGGCCCACTGTGGTTTGGTGGTCTGCTTAGGACAAGTCAAACTTTATATTAGTGTGTTTATGATGGAAGCACATGATAATTCTCTAGGCCTTGTTATTTTAAGTCTATAAACTGCAGTTTTGGCTACAGGGATCAAATCTAGATCCTAGAAAGTATGCTGCCATGTGGCTGGATTGTTCTCCTGGCTTGACATTTCTTCTTGGATGTACTCTCAGCAGCTTGTTTCCAGGAGACCAGCTGGGTTTTCAGTACAGCACCTCAGTTACCATTAAGAGTCGTAAGAGTCTTGCTGACTTAGGCTTGTTTAGAATTCACTTTGGAGATGGAATGGAAATGTGGATAATCTAAAATCTCAGAAAATTCCCAGATAATTGCTCTTTGGCATTGTCCCATGGGATGTTTTCCCACCACCATATTAGCCTTTTAAATCAGTTGTGTTCAAATTGTCCTTAAAATTACTTTGTTTTCTCAGATCATGTAGTACCTAATTTGGGGACTTGGGGCTGGGGTGGGTGCATCCTGATAGTGTGCAAGAAGCCAGTTTGTGCCCCCAGTTTTCCCACAAATCGCCCACAAAGGGTCCAACACATGGGATAATTGACAGTAGCCTATTTCAGGATCTGACACAAAGTAACTTCTCTTCTACCCGGAGCCTCAGGCACAGGGGATGGGTCGTGCAAATGCTTCCAGAGCCCCCTCTGTCATTTGGTGTACCAGTTCTCACCATCCTTTTTATGAGCTAGGTAGGCCTCTGACTTCCTCATCTTCACTTTGCTCTCTGTCTTTTGACAGTAATTCTCTTACTCTCTGACAAATAGTGCCCACAGATGGCATGGAGAAGGGAATGAAAGTCAAGTTAGGTTTGCTGTTTGCTAACAGCTCTGGGGTGTGTGTGTGTGTGTGTGTGTGTGCGTGTGTGTGTGTGTGTGTGTGTGTGTGTGTGTATGCTTAAAGGCTGAATGAGAGAGTAGGTAGAAATTCCTGCCTAAAATGAGAATCTGTGATGCTCCAGTGATTTCATTTGTTCCTTCTCTTGCTTTTTCTTTTGTTATAGATAATTGGGAGTAGGCTGTGGGATATGTTTCTGTTGCGTTCTGTCTTCTGAGCCAGCAGGTTTGGGCAAATGAGTATAGAATTAGAGTGTAAAGCTCAGAATTTTCTCTCTTTATATTGCTCACCAAAGGATGAGTCAATCCTCTTGTTTTCTCTATTATCCCACCAACTAATCTCATATTAAAGGAGCAAATTCATTTTCAAAGATTCACATATTTACTTCTAAATTCAGAGTTAAACTTGAGCCAAATACAGACGACAAAAGGAATGCAAAACTTCAGAGTAGGTTTCTAAGAGCCAGAGATGTAGAATATTGAAGGATGAAGGCTCTGGCAAACTGTTGTAACTGTTGACCCTTCTCCATGTATCTTCATGTTGGACATGGGAGAAATAGTAATAGACACAAGTTGCAGGCCCCACACCCCCTTCAATGTTAATATTTTATGTCTCTGCCCTCAGGTTGGTGGGAAAGTGATGATTTAGTGACTGCTACTTGAGGAAGCCATTCTAGATTTTTGGTTCTTTATACATTGGTAAGGAAAAGATTGTGGGAGGAGACTTGAGGACGCTTAGGCAGTGGTCTGCACTGACTCTCCATGCTGTACCTTGTGTCCACTGTTCTTTGCTGGATGTTTGGATTATGCTATCAGCTCCTCTGAATTTCTGACCCTGTATCTCAGGACAAGGCTGGCCTCTGTCTTTTTTGGTACCCCTGGACTTATTCTCAGAGGAGTTGGAATTCTAACTCATCCCAACACCATCTCTTCTGGCCTAAAAAAGAAAGATTCAGGCTCATTGGTGGCTCAGCTAAGTTGACACCCACCAGCCATTGTGGAGTCAAGACAGGGGAAAAGCCATTTCTCCATTCCTGAGAATGGAGAAAAGACCCAGTAAATAGCTTTTAACTGATTGCTAGATTGTGTACTATGTTCCCCTCCTTTATCTTTTTTCTCTCTATACTCTTCCTCTTCTGCTCCTGCCCACTTCCCCTCTCATTTTCCTGATCATGGTATGGTTTCAATTTTCTCATGGCATCCGCAGCCCTGTTATGCCTAACTTGCTGGTGACATTTGTGATAGAACTGGAAGAATCCTGGGCTAGGGGTTTCTTCATTTGAGCTCAATTCAGTGTTGAACTTCCAAGTGGGATATAATTGGAGGAGTGGGTGCAGAAAAATGCCTGGCAAAAGACAGGCACAGAAATATCCCCTGAAACTGAAGAGAGTTTGTGAAATGGACCGCCTATCCTTTGGGACTTTATATCTATTGGAAACCCAGACAGAAGTAGGGTGATGAGAGAAAAAAAAATATTTGTTCTTTATTTGTCCAATATACCTATTGTATTCACCTGTTGGGTGCCTAGCCTCGTGCTAGGTGCTAGACACAAGGAAACACCTGCGATAGAGCCTCTGAGTCTATTTGGGAGAAGGGATAGACAGGTAAGCAAATAAAACAGTGAAGCACAGTCAATGATCTAATATATGCCTGCCTAAAGCAAGTGGGGGTTCAATACAAGGAGCAGGTAAGTCTGCTGGGGTAGGTCAGTATCCTTCCTTGAAGGACGATGATGAATCATGCGGAAAATGACTGTCTGATTTCCCCTGAACAAGACCATTTTGAGCTAAGTTCAGTTTGGGTTGTCCGCTCCCATTTGGCCTTTTGGACAATAGGAGTTTCACTTTCTCCAGAAGTGATTCTTCTGATGGGTCTGCTATAAGGGACACTGTTGGTCCAAATTGTACATATTATCTTTCACCAAACTGGTTTGCTCTTCCTATGTTTTTAATCTCATTGATTAGCTGTCACCCCAGTCGTCATCCAAACCAGAAACTCAGGAGCCTCCTAGGTTGCTTCTTCTTTTCCTGTGTAGCTATTTTTTTCAGAG
This sequence comes from Homo sapiens, assembly GCF_000001405.40. Taxonomy (NCBI): domain Eukaryota; kingdom Metazoa; phylum Chordata; class Mammalia; order Primates; family Hominidae; genus Homo; species Homo sapiens. The sequence continues at coordinate 211,085,613 of NC_000001.11, read as the reverse complement.
TCCTGACTCTGTAGCTGCCCTCAAGTCTCCCCTTGACCCCTGGCCCAGGCCACAGCATTGGTCCAGGCCCACATGGTCTCTTGCCTGTTGTGCTGACATATCTTCTATCTGTCAGTCTTTTTTTTTTTTTTCTAGCCCACTATCCACTTTGTTGTTCTGTTCATTTAAAATGCAAATTGGCATGTGTATCTCCCTCCTCACCAAATTTAAAGTCCTTCAGTGGCTCTCAGTGGGTTTCAGGATGAAGTTCAAATTTCTTAACTTACCTTCTAGGTTTTTACTGTCCAGGTTCTTCTTGGTTTGGCCCCTACCAACCTCTTTAGCATCATCTCAGGACACACCTGGCATCCCCCTCCCACTTATAAACCATGGCCCTTTATCCAGCCATTCAGAATGTCTTGTTCTTCACGGGCATATTACCCTGTTTTATAATTTTCTGCCTTTGTAGGTGCTGTTCCTTCTGTGTGGGATATCTTTCTTTCCTTAAGTCTACCTAAATCTTACTCATTGTTCAAAACTTTGCTCTAGTGCCATCTCCTCCAGGAAACCTGCTTTGACTCCCCAGCCTGGATTAGATATGCATCCTTTTGACAGTCTTGGCCACAGCATTCTGTACTCATCCCTGTCATAGAACTTAGCTCACTATGTCATGATTTCTTAATTTTTCAGTCTTCCCTGCTAGAGTGTGTGCTCTCTGAGGCCAGAATCTGTGTCTTATTCATGTTAGTATCTCTAGTATCTAGTACCATGCCTGGTACATAGTAGTTATGTTTATAGAATTAACACATGAATGAATGAATCTATTTTTTCATCTGGCGAGGCATGATTGCCATTATAAAGTATCTATAGAGCAGGAAGGAAAATATGGGTTTGGGAACTTGGGCGAAAACTTATTTCCTTCTTTCCTGCCCATGCTGGGTAGAAGTGTAATGCAGATTTCACACTGTTCATCCATTTCCTTTTCAACACCCACTCACCTTCCCATGCCCTTGCTCAGCCAGCTGAGAACCCACTCTTTTAAGAGCCCACTCTTGCAAAGAGAATCAGGGCTAGGCCAGAGAGTGAGGGGCTATCCTGAGTCTAGGGAAATGACCAGAGGTCCAGGGATATTTCTTTTTATTCTTTTATGTTATATCAGGTGATGAACCAAGGGGTTTGGGGCACCTGCCCTGCCAGCTCCCTCTCGTCACTGTTCTCACAGTATATAGATCACGCTGGTGGTGGTGGTAGTAGGGTGGGTGCAGAGCCCTTGCTGATGTTTACATACACAACTGACTGAAAAATAAACTCTCTGCTCTTCTCGAAAAGCTTTTTAGAATCCAGTTTCAGCTTTATTTTAAGCTGAAGTAGAGCCTGCCTCTGAAAGTGACTTTTAAAAAAATCTTAGTTCATAGTTCCCATAGCACATTCATTGACACTGGGGGAGATGTCAAAGACCCCTACAGAGTCCATGCTGTGCCCTCCTGTTAACATTAATGGGACCCCCCCACAGTGAAACCACTATGTGTATCTTTTCAAGCCAACCCCAGCAGTTCCACATTTCTGCTTTGTGGCATCAGGGTGGATGAAAGCACTACTGGCTTTTTATTAAAGCCTGGCACTTCTTGAATGAGATAAAAAAGAGCTGATTTGCTATTCTTATTATATTGACAAAAATTTATCCAGTTTATGATTCTCATAGGTTGTGTAGAAAAATAAAATATGGACATTTTTCTGTTTAACTCCACTGTCCTCTGGATTCTATAAGTCTATCTTGGAAAGTTGCTCCAGGGTAAAATTTGGCAGATGAGATTTCTACTGGAAGTTGCTGAATGCTTCTAAACTCTGAAGGATATAAAAAAATAAAATCATCTAGTCCTGCTTTTAGCTGTAATGTAAAAATAGTTGCATGCTCTGTTTATTTGCTGTATACCCCACATCTGGGTTTTTGGAGCTCCTAAAACCCAAGCCTGGTCTTGAGAATACTGACAGGACTTCAAGGGTCTGATGGGGCAACTGCCATGGTCATAACCTTGATACAGATGGGTTGTTGAGTGTTGAAATGGACAGTTGTCTTTGGGGGCCTTTAAAAGGTGTCAAGATCACTCAGACATCTTCGATTCTCAGTAAGGACCTGTCACCAACCATCTTTCTCCCATCCTAAAGCAGACTAAAATCTACCACTGCTTTTCCCCCACCTACCCAGGGGTTGAAATCATTTCTTATTCCTCTGGCCTTGGAGAAGGTAATGCATAGAATGGCCATTTGACTAGCTTGTCCATTTAAAATGCAGAACCAACTGTTTCTGCAAGATCAGATAGCCTGGGGACTGGGAACAGCCTGAGCCAAGTTACCAAGTCACAGAAACATCTCAATTACCCGATATTATCTTCTGAAGAAGGCTTGGGCCAGAGTGAAGAGATGTTCTAGACTCTTTCTCATTGTCCAGGCACTCTGTGTCTTAGTCTCCCTATTTGTAAAATGGTACTAAAACCTGCTGTACCAACTTCACAAACTACGATTAGGATGAAGTGAAAGTGCAGGGGAAAAGCAAGTTGCGACACACAAGGTGCTTTACGGAGCAGTGGGTCTTGCTTGCAGGGATGCAGAGTGACTCATGGGAGCTTAGGAGGGCATTGGAGGTGTCTGTTTCTGACAGTATAACTTGTAATGTGAATGTCTGTGCACCTTTGGGATGTGGTTGACCCTGTCTTTTCACTCTTCCACTTGCTTCAGGCTGGGGGAAGTTTGCTCGGCTGACAAGAGCACTGACAAGCAGCAGGGGTGTCCTGCAGCAGCTGGCTCCAAGCGTGCAAAAAGGCGAGAATGTCCACAAGCACTCCCGCCTGGCAGAGGTAAGGGCAAAGGGTTAGCTCATCTTGAGCCTCACTTTTAGGGGGTGCATGGGCTGAGGCAATGGCACAAAACTAGTGTGCTAATCATGGAGAGGACCTTCAGGACCCCCAGACGCCTGTCTTGGCTGGGCTTACACACCACAGTGTATGATACTGGGTAAGTGACCTAACTCCTTTGAGCTTTACACTTTCCCATGTGCAAAAGCAGGCTGGAAAAGCTCTGTTTCAGCTTGCTTGAGATTAAAAGTGTCAAATCACTTTTATGAGGAGCTAGAAGTGCTTCATGTACATGAAGGAGTTTTTAAACAATTTTGTTATTAGAGCAATTCATACTGTTATAGGCAAAGAAGATACAGGTAGTGAAAAGAAGAAAATAAAAAGTACCTGTAATCACAACAACCACATGGCATTTTACATTTTTTTGGTGTGTGCATTTAACTTGTTTCTTTGTAGATATCCTATTTCCTAAATGCTAAGAAATTCATTTTTCAAATGTTAATGTTTATGAAATTCAGACACATCTAGGAATAGTGTATACATTAAATGTGATTATGTTGCCTTTTCTTCACTTTATATAATCATGAACATTTTTACATCTTAATAAATATACTTAAAATTGTTATTATTTTGATAATCTTTGTAGTTAGGAAAATTTGGCATTCTTCTTTTTGCTGGGGCAAGTAAGAGGCTAGGAAGCCCTGACAAGGTATCTTATTAGGCTTTATGCACCCAACTTGTCATTATCTGCCTTTGATGGTGCCTGGTCTTTATTTTTATTTTATTTTTTATTTTTTAATTTTTTAACTTCTCTTTGTTATACTTTAAGTTCTAGGGTACATGTGCACAAAGTGCAGGCTTATTACATAGGTATACATGTGCCATGTTGGTTTGCTGCATCCATTAACTCATCATTTATGTTAGGTATTTCTCCTAACGCTATCCCTCCCCCGTCCCCCATCCCATGACAGGCCCCGGGGTGTGATGTTACCTGCCCTGTGTCCAAGTGTTCTCATTGTTCAATTCCCAACTATGAGTGAGAACATGTGGTGTTTGGTTTTCTGCCTTGTGATAGTTTGCTCAGAATGATGGTTTCCAGCTGCATCCATGTCCCTGCAAAGGACATGAACTCATCCTTTTTAATGGCTGCATAGTATTCCATGGTGTATATGTGCCACATTTTCTTAATCCAGCCTATCATTGATGGACATTTGGGTCAGTTCCAAGTTCTTTGCTATTGTGAATAGTGCCGTAATAAATGTACGTGTGCATGTGTCTTTATAGTAGCATGATTTATAATCCTTTGGGTATATACCCAGTAATGGGATTGCTGGGTCAAATGGTATTTCTAGTTCTAGATCCTTGAGGAATCACCACACTGTCTTCCACAATGGTTGAGCTAGTTTACAGTCCCACCAACAGTGTAGAAGTGTTCCTATTTCTCCACATCCTCTCTAGCACCTGTTGTTTCCTGACTTTTTAATGATCGCCATTCTAACTGGTGTGAGATGGTATCTCATCGTGGTTTTGATTTGCATTTCTCTAATGACCAGTGATGATGAGCATTTTTTCATGTGTCTGTTGGCTGCATAAATGTCTTCGTTTGAGAAGTGTCTGTTCATATCTTTTGCCCACTTTTTGATGGGGTTGTTTGTTTTTTTCTTGTAAATTTGTTTGAGTTCTTTGTAGATTCTGGATATTAGCCGTTTGTCAGATGGGTAGATTGCAAAAATTTTCTCCCATTTTGTAGGTTGCCTGTTCACTCTGATGGTAGTTTCTTTTGCTGTGCAGAAGCTCTTTAGTTTAATTAAATCTCATTTGTCTATTTTGGCTTTTGTTGCCATTGCTTTTGGTGTTTTAGTCATGAAGTCCTTGCCCATGCCTATGTCCTGAATGGTATTGCCTAGGTTTTCTTCTAGGGTTTTTATGGTTTTAGTTCTCACATTTAAGTCCTTAATCCATCTTGAATTAATGTTTGTATAAGGTGTAAGGAAGGGGTTCAGTTTCAGCTTTCCAATATGGCTAGCCAGTTTTCCCAGCACCATTTATTAAATAGAGAATCCTTTCCCCATTTCTTGTTTTTGTCAGGTTTGTCAAAGATCAGATGGTTGTAGATGTGTGGTGTTACTTCTAAGGCCTCTGTTCTGTTCCATTAGTCTATATATCTGTTTTGGTACCAGTACCACACTGTTTTGGTTACTGTAGCCTTGTAGTATCGTTGGAAGTCAGGTAGCATGATGCCTCCAGCTTTGTTCTTTTTGCTTAGGATTGTCTTGGCAATATGGGCTCTTTTTGGTTCCACATGAACTTTAAAGTAGTTTTTTCCAATTCTGTGAAGAAAGTCATTGGTAGCTTGATGGGGATGGCATTGAATCTATAAATTACTTTGGGCAGTATGGCCATTTTCATGATATTGCTTCTTCCTATCCATGAGGATGGAATGTTCTTCCATTTGTTTGTGTCCTCTTTTATTTCATCGAGCAGTGGTTTGTAGTTCTCCTTGAAGGGGTCCTTCACATCCCTTGTAAGTTGTATTCCTAGGTATTTTATTCTCTTTGAAGCAATTGTGAATGGGAGTTCACTCATGATTTGGCTCTCTGTTTGTCTATTATTGGTGTGTACAAATGCTTGTGATTTTTGCACATTGATTTTGAATCCTGAGACTTTGCTGAAGTTGCTTATCAGCTTAAGGAGATTTTGGGCTGAGACGATGGGGTTTTCTAAATATACAGTCATGTCATCTGCAAACAGGGACAATTTGACTTCCTCTTTTCCTAATTAAATACCTTTTATTTCTTTCTCTTGCCTGATTGCTCTGGCCAGAACTTCCAACACTATGTTGAATAGGAGTGGTGAGAGAGGGCATCTCTGTCTTGTGCCAGTTTTCAAAGGGAATACTTCCAGTTTTTGCCCATTCAGTATGATATTGGCTGTGGGTTTGTCATAAATAGCTCTTATTATTTTGAGATACATTCCATCAGTACCTAGTTTACTGAGAGTTTTTAGCATGAAGGGCTGTTGAATTTTGTTGAAGGCCTTTTCTGCATCTATGGAGATAATCATGTAGTTTTTGTCGTTGGTTCTGTTTATATGATGGATTATGTTTATTGATTTGCATATGTTGAACCAGCCTTGCATCCCAGGGATTAAGCCAACTTGATCATGCTGGATAAACTTTTTGATGTGCTGCTGGATTTGGCTTGCCCGTATTTTACTGAGGATTTTCACATCAATGTTTATTAGGGATATTGGTCTAAAATTCTCTTTTTTTGTTGTGTTTCTGCCAGGCTTTGGTATCAGGATGATGCTGGCCTCGTAAAATGAGTTAGGGAGGATTCCCTCTTTTTCTATTGATTGGAATAGTTTCAGAAGGAATGGTACCAGCTCCTCTTTGTAGCTCTGGTAGAATTTCGCTGTGAATCCATCTGGTCGTGGAGTTTTTTTGGTTGGTAGGCTATTAATTATTGCCTCAATTTCAGATCCTGTTATTGGTCTATTCAGAGATTCCCCTTCTTCCTGGTTTAGTCTTGGGAGGGCATATGTGTCCAGGAATTTATCCATTTCTTCTAGATTTTCTAGTTTATTTGCATAGAGGTGTTTATAGTTTTCTCTGATGGTAGTTTGTATTTCTGTGGGATTGGTGGTGATAACCCCTTTATCATTTTTTTATTGTGTCTATTTGATTCTTCTCTCTTTCCTTCTTTATTAGTCTTGCTAGTGGTCTATCAATTTTGTTGATCTTTTCAAAAAACCAGCTCCTGGATTCATTGATTTTTTGAAGGTTTTTTTTGTGTCTCTATCTCCTTCAGTTCTGCTCTCATCTTAGTTATTTCTTTCTTTCTTTCTTTTTTTTTTTTTTTTTTTTGAGACGGAGTCTCGCTCTGTCACCCAGGCTGGAGTGCAGTGGTGTGATCTCGGCTCACTGTGAGCTCTGCCTCCCGGGTTCACGCCATTCTACTGCCTCAGCCTCCCGAGCAGCTGGGACTATAGGCGCCCACCACCATGCCTGTCTATGATCTTAGTTATTTCTTGCCTTCTGCTAGCTTTTGAATTTGTTTCATCTTGCTTCTTTAGTTCTTTTAATTGTGATGTTAGGATGTCAATTTTAGATCTTTCCTGCTTCCTCTTGTGGGCATTTAGTGCTATAAATTTCCCTCTACATACTGCTTTAAATGTGTCCCAGAGATTCTGGTACGTTGTGTCTTTGTTCTCATTGGTTTCAAAGAACATCTTTATTTCTACCTTCATTTCGTTATGCACCCAGTAGTCATTCAGGAGCAGGTTGTTCAGTTTCCATGTAGTTGAGCGGTTTTGAGTGAGTTTCTTAATCCTGAGTTCTAGTTTGATTGCACTGTGATCTAAGGGACAGATTGTTGTGATTTCTGTTCTTTACATTTGCTGAGGAGTGCTTTACTTCCAACTGTGTGGTCAATTTTGGAATAAGTATGATGTGGTGCTGAGAAGAATGTATATTCTGTTGATTTGGGGTGGAGAGTTCTGTAGATGTCTATTAGGTCTGCTTGGTGCAGAGCTGAGTTCAAGTCCTGAATATCCTTGTTAACCTTCTGTCTCATTGATCTGTCTAATATTGACAGTGGGTTATTAACCTCTCCCATGATTACTGGGTTGGAGTCTAAGTCTCTTTTAAGGTCTCTAAGGACTTGCTTTATGAATCTGGGTGCTCCTGTATTGGGTGAATATATATTTAGAATAGTTAGCTCTTCTTATTGAATTGATCCCTTTACCATTATGTAATGGCCTTCTTTGTCTCTTTTGATGTTTGTTGGTTTAAAGTCTGTTTTTATCAGAGACTAGGATTGCAACCCTGCTTTTTTTTTTTTCTTTTTGCTTTCCATTTGCTTAGTAGATCTTCCTCCATCCCTTTATTTTGAGCCTATATGTGTCTCTGCATGTGAGATGGGTCTCCTGAATATAGCACACTGATGGGGCTTGACTCTTTATCCAGTTTGCCATTTTGTGTCTTTTAATTGGGGCATTTTGCCCATTTACTTTTAAGGTTAATATTGTTATGTGTGAATTTGATCCTGTCATTATGATGTTAGCTGGTTATTTTGTCCGTTAGTTGATGCAGTTTCTTCCTAGCATTTATAGTCTTTACAATTTGGTATGTTTTTGCAGTGGCTGGTAGTGGTTGTTCCTTTTCATGTTTAGTGCTTCCTTCAGGAGCTCTTTTAGGGCAGGCCTGGTGGTGACAAAATCTCTCAGGGTTTGCTTGTCTGTAAAGTATTTTATTTATCCTTTGCTTATGAAGCTTAGTTTGGCTGGATATGAACTTCTGGGTTGAAAATTATTTTCTTTAAGAATGTTGAATATTGGCCCCCACTCTCTTCTGGCTTGTAAGAGTTTCTGCTGAGAGATCCGCTGTTAGTCTGATGGGCTTCCCTTTGTGGGTAACTCGACCTTTCTACCTGGCTGCCCTTAACATTTTTTCCTTCATTTCAACCTTGGTGAATCTGACAATCATGTATCTTGGGGTCGCTGTTCCGAGGAGTGTCTGTGGAGTTCTCCGTATTTCCTGAATTTGAATGTTGGCCTGTCTCGCTAGGTTGGGGAAGTTCTCCTGGATAATATCCTGCAGAGTGTTTTCCAACTTGGTTCCATTCTCCCCATCAGTTTCAGGTACACCAATCAAATGTAGATTTGGTCTTTTCACATAGTGCCATATTTCTTGGAGGCTTTGTTCATTTGTTTTTACTCTTTTTTCTCTAAACTTCTCCTCTCACTTTATTTTATTAATTTGATTTTCAATCACTGATACCCTTTCTTCCACTTGATCGAATTGGCTATTGAAGCTTGTGCATGTGTCGCATAGTTCTTGTGCCATGGTTTTCAGCTCCATCAGGTCATTTAAGGTCTACTCTACACTGTTTATTCTAGGTAGCCATTCATCTAATCTTTTTTCAAGGTTTTAGCTTCCTTGCGATGGGTTCGAACATCCTTCTTTAGCTCAGAGAAGTTTGTTATTACCGACCTTCTGAAGCCTACTTCTGTCAGCTCATCAAAGTCATTCTCCATCCAGCTTTGTTCCATTGCTGGCGAGGAGCTGCGATCCTTTGGAGGAGAAGAGGCTCTCAGGTTTTTGGAATTTTCAGCTTTCCTGATCTGGTTTCTCCTCATCTTTGTGGTTTTATCTACCTTTGGTCTTTGATGTTGGTGGTCTACAGATGGGGTTTTGGTGTGGTTATCCTTTTTGTTGATGTTGATGCTATTCCTTTCTGTTTGTTAGTTTTCCTTCTAACAGTCAGGTCCCTCAGCTGCAGGTCTGTTGGAGTTTGCTGGAGGTCCATTCCAGATCTTGTTTGCCTGGATATCACCAATGGAGGCTGCAGAACAGCAAATATTGCAGAACAGCAAATATTGCTGCCTGATCCTTCCTTTGGAGGCCTCATCCCCAAGGGGCACCCGCCTGTGTGAGGTGTCAGTCGGACCCTACTGGGAGGTGTCTCCAAGTTAGGCTACATGGAGATCAAGGACCCACTTGAGGAGGCAGTCTGTCCATTCTCAGAGGTCAAACACTGTGCTGGGAGAACCACTGCTCTCTTCAGAGCTGTTAGACAGGGATGTTTAAGTCTGCAGAAGTTGTCTGCTGTCTTTTGTTCAGCTATGCCCTGCCCGCAGAGGTGGAGACTACAGAGGCAGTAGGCCTTGCTGAACTGTGGTGGGCTCTGCCCAGTTCAAGCTTCCCCAGCTGCTTTGCTTATCTACTCAAGCCTCAGTAATGGTGGATGCCCCTCCCCCTGCCAGGCTGCTGCCTCGCAGGTCAATCTCAGACTGCTGTGCTCGCAGTAAGCAAGGCTCCATGGGCTTGGGATCGGCTGAGCCAGGTGCGGGATATAATCTCCTGGTGTGCTATTTGCTAATACCATTGGAAAAGCACAGTATTTGGGTGGGAGTATCCCGTTTTTCCAGGTGCTGTCTGTCACAGCTTCCCTTGGCTAGGAAAGGGAAATCCCCCGATCCCTTGCACTTCCTGGGTGAGGCAATGCTCCGCCCTGCTTCGGCTTGCCCTCTGTGGGCTGCACCCACTGTCCAACTAGTCCCAATGAAATGAACCAGGTACCTGAGTTGGAAATGCAGAAATCACCCATCTTCTGCATTGATCACGCTGGGAGCTGCAGACCAGAGCTGTTCCTATTCGGCCATCTTGGATCCGGAATCCTGTTCTTTATTTTTTCAACTACACCTGGGTGGGGCCAGTTAGAAGCATTATACCTTCTTGACTCCAAATCTCCTTCTTACCCAAGGATAACAGGTAAACTGTCCCATTGCCTGTAGATGGCTGGTCAGTCCTTGATCCACGTTTGGATGGTGGGACCCTTTCTAACCTGGCTCCAGAGTTCCATACCTCTAGTGGAGACACTACCAACATGATGCAGCTCACAAAGAATGTTCTGAATATATGCAGTAATGTCAAATGAGTTAGCTACAGAAGATCTCCTTGTAGTAACCAGAAGCTTTTGTCAACAGTGGAGATGGGGAGCATTCATTTGTACCATTTTGGACAAGGACAGATATTTGGATGATGGTAGCATCATTTTTTGTCATGATGTGGGCTTGGCTGATGATAGAAAGGATACTAAAGGAGACCTTTCAACTCACAGCCTGTACTTTCTCTGCTGCTTCTTATGGTTAATAGAAAAACCTCCTCTCCTACATCTCTCCCCTTGCTCACTCTTATTCGGCTACACTGGCCTTTTTGGTTTTCCTTGTACACACCATGCTTAACTGCAAGTCTTTGCCCAAATGTCATTTTCTCTACGTAGCTAACTGTATCAGTCAGAGTTCTACCAGAGAAACAGAGCTGGTAGGATACTTAATATTAAGAGATTTATTGCAAAGAATTGGCTTATGTGATTGTGGTGATTGGCTGCTTGTGTCCGAAATTCACAGGGCAGGTTGACAGATGGAAACCCTTGGGAAGAGCTGATGCTGAAGTTCACAAGCAAATTCTTTCTTCCTTAGGAAAACTCAGTTCTGCTTTTAACACCTTTCGACTGACTGGATGAGGCCCATTCAGATTACAGAGGATTATATCTTTTCCTGAAAATTGACTGATTATAGATATTAATCACATCTACATAATACTTTTACAGCAACATTTATTTTAGTGTTGGCTTAAATACCTGAGTGCCACAGCATAGCCAAGTTGATACATAGAATTATTACAGTTCACCTCTTGTCAACTTGATACCCATATACATTTTTATAATCCATATTTAATCTCCAAATAAGTCAATAAGAAAATCATACTTCCATCTAACGTGATACAATTACTGTACGTACAATGGAAAATATGCCAGCCTTTTCCCCAAAAGAGGATGCAAAGTCATTGGTGATGTTCATTTTTCTTCTTCCTATCCTGTAATTCAAATAACTATGATATAAAATTAACTATTATTAATATATTTATGTTATGTAAGAGGATAAGAAAGGGATGAAACTAATAGTATTATATATATATAAATTTATACCAAATTAAGGAAAAATTATAACTCCTAGTCCTCTTTTTAATCTGATCTATGTTTTCTTCCACTTGATACCTTCTAATGTAACATACAGTTTACTTACTTATTGTGTTTATTCAGTGATAAATCTCAAGCACTTAGAATGGTGTTTGGCACATAGTAGTTACTCAGTATTAAGGTTTTTTTTTTTTTTTTTTTTAATTGGTGGAATGAATGAAAGAAAGGAAACAATGAGTTTTAGTCTACTGGTCTGGCATAAGTGGTTGCTCATTGATTGCCAATATAAGGCAAACATCTGGGTCTCATCTCAGGGGCTAGTATGTTTTAGTTAGCCTGGCTAGAGGCTTATTGATTTTTATTGATTTTTTTCAAAGAATGAGCTTTTGGTTTTGTTGATTTTTTTCTATTGACTTTTTGTTTTCAATTTCATTGCTTTCTGCTCCAATTTTTGTTCTTTTCTTCTGCTTACTTTGGATTTAATTTGCTTTAATTTTTTAGTTTCCTAAAGCAGAAGCTTATTGATTTTTGATTTTTTTCTTTTCTAGTATATGCATTTAATGCTAAAAATTTCCCTCTAAACACTGCTTTTGCTGCATGCCACGAATTTTAATTTGTATTCTCTTTTTCATTTAGTTAAAATATATTTTATTTTCTCTTGAGATATATTCTTTGGCCTATGTATTATTTAGAAGTGTGTTGTTTAGTCTCCAAGTATTTTTGGATTTTCTAGCTGTTTTCTCTAACTGATTTCTAGTTTAATTCCACTGTGGCCTGAGAGCAGACATTGTATGATTTCTATTTGTTTGTTAAGGTGTGTTACATGGCCCAGAATGTGGCCTATCTTAGTGAATGTTCCATGTGACCTTGAGAGAATGTGATTTCTGCTATTGTTGGACAAAGTAGTCTCTACATGTTCATTATATCCAGTTGATTGATGGTATTATTGAGTTCAACTATATCCTTACTGATTTTCTGCCTGCTAAATCTGTCCATATCTGATAGAGAGGCATTGAAGTCTTCAACTATAATAATGAATTCATCTATTTTTCCTTGCAGTTGTATCAATTTTTTCCTGACATTTTTTGATGCTCTATTGTTAGATGTGCAGATGTTAAAGATTATGTCTTTTTTGAGAATTGACTCTTTTATCATTATAATGCCCCTCTCTGTTTCTGATAACTTTTCTTGCTTTGAAGTCTGCTCTGTCTGAAATTAATACAGCTACTCCTGCTTTCCTTTGATTACTTTTAGCATGATATATCTTTCTCCATCTCTTTACTTTTTAATCAATATGTGTCTTCATATTTAAAGTGACTTTCTGTAGACGACATATAGTTGGGTCTTGTTTTTTCATCCGGTCTGACAGTCTGTGTCTTTTGTATATTTAGACCACTGAAGTTTAAAGTGATTATTGATATAGTTGAATTAATATCTCTGGTATTTGTTGCTTTTTTCTATTCATTGCCCTTTTTCTTCTTATTTTGTCTTCCATTCTTTTTCTGCCTTTTTTGGTTTTAACTGAGCATTTTATGTGATTCAACTTTTTCTCCTTCCTTAGCAGCAATCAAAATGCAAAAAAAATTTTTTTTTCAGTGGTTGCCCTAAAGTTTGCAAAATACATTTACAACTAATCCAAACCTCTTTCAAATAATACTATACTAAGTACCTTATAATAGGAAGATATTCCTAATTCCTCTCATTCCTTGTATCATTGCTTTAACTAATTTCACATATACATAAACACAAACACACATATACAAGCATAATTGAATACATGTTATTTTTCATTGAACTGTCATCTGTTAGATTAGTTAAAAATAAGTAAAATAAAAATTTCATTTTACCTTCACTTATTCCTTCTCTGATGCTGTTTGTTTCTTGATGTACCTCTGAGTGTCTGACCTATATCATTCTCAATCCCTCTGAAGGACTTCTTTTGACATTTCTTGCAAGGCAGGTCTACTGGCAACAAATTCACTCCATTTTTGTCTGAGAAAGTCTATTTTTCCTTTTTTTATTTGGAGATGGATTCTCCCTCTGCCGCCCAGGCTGGAGTGCAGTAGCATGATCTTGGCTCACTGCAATCTCCACCTCCCAGGTTCAAGTGATTCTCTTGCCTTGGCCTCCTGAGTAGCTGGGATTACAGGTGTGTGCCACCATGCACGGCTAATTTTTGTAATTTTAGTAGAGATGGGGTTTCACCATGCTGGCCAGGCTGGTCTTGAACTCCTGACCTCAGGTGATCCTCCCACCTCCGCCTCCCAAAGTGCTGGGATTACAGGTGTGAGCCACTCTGCCTGGCCTTTTCCTTCACTTTTGAAGGATAATTTCACAGGGCCCAAAATTCTAGGTTGGTGGGTTTTTTTTTCCTCCCAACTCTTTAAATACCTCACTCCACTTATCTTCTTGCTTGCATGGTTTCTGAGAAGTTGGATGTACAGTTGACCCTTGAATAACATGGGTTTGAACTATGTGAGTCCACTAATATGTGGATTGTTTTTCAATAAGTATACTGAAAATTTTTTGGAGATTTACAATGACTTGAAAAACATGCAGACCAACTGCATAGCCTAGAAATATTGAAAAAATTAGGTATGTCATGAATGCATAAAATATATGTAGACACTAGTCTATTTTATTATTATCGTAAAATATAAACAAATCTATTATAAAAAGTTAAAATTTATAAAAACGTTTCCACACAAACAACATTTACAGACGTAAAGATGCAGTATTAAATCATAACTGCATAACATGAACTAAAGTATACACTTTACTACTGTAATAGTTTTGTAGCAACTTCCTGTTGTTCTTGCTGTGAACTCAAGTATCGTGAGTGTCCACTTAAATGTTGTGACGCTAATCCTCTCATCCTGAACAGTTCTTCTCTCTAGTAAATTTTATATAGCAGTAAAAAGTGATCTCTCAAGGTTCTCATCAAGAATCTCTAGCATGTTTTTTTTTATCGTGTTTAGTAGAATATCATAAACCTTGATAACACTGGGGGACCCATACGAGGTGGCACTAGTTACAAGAAAAAGTTAGATTGCTTCATATGTATCATAGATTGGGGTCTGCAGCTGCGGTTGCCTGCCATTTCAGACAGACTATTCATATTGGAAACAGATGATATAAATTTATGGTATTGATAAATACAGTACATTACTGTGAATGTATTTTCCTTCCTTATGATTTTGTTAGTAACATTTTATTTTCTGTAGCTTTGTTGTAAGAATACAGTATGTAATACAAAATAACATACAAAAGATGTGTTAATTGACTTTATATTATTGGTAAGGCTTCTGGTCAGTAGTAGGCTATTAGTAAATTTTTAGAGTCAAAAGTTATATGTAGATTTGACTGTGTGGGGGCATCGGTGTCCCTAACTCCTGCATTGTTCAAGGGCCAACTGTAATTCTTATCTTTCCTTCTTTTTAGGCTAGGTGATTTTTTTTTTCCTAATTTTTTTTTTTTTGAGATGGAGTCTCGCTCTGTCCCCCAGACTGGAGAACAATTGCATGATCTTGGCTCACTGCAACCTCCACCTCCTGGGTTCAAGCGATTCTCCTGTCTCAGCCTCCTGTAGCTGGGATTACAGGCACCCGTCACCATGCCTGGCTACTTTTTGTATTTTTAGTAGAGACGGGGTTTCGCCATGTTGGCCGGGCTGGTCTCCAACTCCTGACCTGAAGTGATCTGCCTGCCTTGGCCTCCCAAAGTGCTGGGATTACAGATGTGAGCCACCACACCTGGCCTCCCCTCTGAGTTTTTAAAGGAATTTTTTGGTTATCTTAGATATTCTGCAGTTTGAATATGATATGACTGGATTTGTTTGTTTGTGTGTGTGTGTGTGTGTGTGTGTGTGTTTTTTTTTTTTTAAAGGTGGAGTCTCGCTCTGTCGCCCAGGCTGGAGTGCGGTGGTGCGATCTTGGCTCACTGCAAGCTCCACCTCCCGGGCTCACGCCATTCTCCTGCCTCAGCCTCCCGAGTAGCTGGGACTACAGGCGCTCACCACTACGCCCGGCTTATTTTTTGTATTTTTAGTAGAGACGGGGTTTCACTGTGTTAGCCAGGATGGTCTCCATCTCCTGACCTCGTGATCTGCCAGCCTCGGCCTCCCAAAGTGCTGGGATTACAGATGTGAGCCCCCCAGCCGTTTTTGTGGTATTTATCTGAGTTGGTGTTTTCTGCACTTCTGTGATCTGAGGTTTGGTGGGTGACATTAATTTGGGAAAATTCTCAGTGATTATTGCTTTGAATATTTCTTTTGTTCTTGTCTTACTTTTCCTTCTGATATTCTCATTATGTGTATGTTATACCTTTTGTAGTTGTCCCACAATTCTTGAATATTCTGTTTTCTGAAATGTTTTAGGGAACATTTTATCATATTCTCTAAAATAGCCTATTTTATCACTTACTACCGTAAAATATAAACAAATCCATTATAAAAAGTTAAAATTCATCAAAACTTATACACATAAGCACAGAACACTTACAGATGTAAAGATGCAATATTAAATCATAACTGCATAACTAACTGTTGTGTATACTGTAGTACTGTAATAATTTTGTAGCCACAAATTTTTTTTCCGGTCTTTTTTTGTTCTCTTTGCTTTTCAGTTTTGGAGGTCTCTATTGACATGTCCTCAAGCACAGAGATTCTTTCCTCAGCTGTGTTCAGTTTACTAATGAATCCACCAAAGACATTCTTTATATCAATTACAGTGTTTCTTATCTCCAGCATTTTGTTTTGGTTCTTAGAGTTCTATCTGTTCTTGCATATTGTCCACTTTTATCTATTAGAGCCCTTAAAAAATTAATCATAGTTGTTTTAAATTCCCAGTCTGATAATTCCAACATCCCTGCCATACCTGGGTCTGGTTCTGATGCTTACTCTGTCTCTTCAAACTGTGTTTTTGCCTTTCAATATGCCTTGTGACTTTTTGTTGAAAGTCAGCTGTCATGTGCTAGGTAAATAGGGCATTTAGTAATGTGATGGTAGGGTGGGGGGTGGGGGAGGAATGTTCTATAGTTCTGTGATTAGGTCTCAGTTTTTAGTGAGTCTGTGCCCCGGGCTATGAATTTCACGAGTTCTTTTCATTCCTCCCCTCACCCCTTGGCAGGGACAGGGTGGCTAGAGCTGGCTGGAGATGGGTATTTCCTTTCCTCCAATCAGTTAGTTAGGCTCTGGTTAAATAGTTTCTCCTGAGGTCAGGCCTTGTTAAGAACAGAATGCTCTGGTGTATATAAACATGGTTCCCTTTCTCCTCCTGCTGCCAGAAGCACAAGGGGATTTTTCTTCCGTCTTCACTGTGAGAACCTGGATAGTTCCTGGAGGTAAAATTCACAAAGTGTAAGCGACTTCCTATGAATGGTTCCTCCCTGGAGTTTTTAATGCTCAGACTTGTCCACACAGCCTACAGCAATTTTTCAGTTACAGTTTAGATTTTCCTACCCAGCACTGGTTCCTGTGGAGGTTTCTGTTCATGCCTGTCTGCTCGGGCCAGTTGTGATTCTCTGTATTCACCAGTCTGTCTTTCTAGCTTTGGAGGTATCATTTTGCCCTGTGCACTCACTTCTCTGATGTATCTAAGAAGAGTTGTTGCCAGGCGCAGTGGCTCACGCCTGTAATCCCAGCACTTTGGGATGCTGAGGCAGGTGGATCACAAGGTCAGGGGTTCAAGATGAGCCTGGCCAATATGGTGAAACCTCGTCTCTACTAAAAATACAAAAATTAGCCGGGCATGGTGGCATGTGCCTATAGTCCTAGCTGCTCAGCAGGCTGAGGCAGAAGAATCACTAGAACCTGGGAGGCGGAGGTTGCAGTGAGCCAAGATTGTGCCACTGCACTCCAGCCTGGGCGACAGAGCAAGACTCCGTCTCAAAAAAAAAACAAAAAAGTTGATTTTTCAGATTGTTCAGCTTTTTACTTTGTTATTAGAAGAGAGTGATGGCTTCTAAGGCATTTACATGACGTATTGGAAATTGGAAGTTGGTAGGAAGTTCTAAACAGAAAAATGTGTTCTCCATCCATAGCTCATAGCTGATATTTTGTCCTGTTTTCTCATTGATCAAATGGAGACTGAATAAGAGTATGGAGACTTCAGTGAAACCTCTCCCACTGCTAGGAAAAAATTGACACAAAGCACAGGTGGACTGAGAATAGCAATTTTGTATTTAAATAGATTGCACATGTTGTTTTCAAAGCCGGTTTATCTCCTTGTTAGGCTGTTCCTCTTTCCTGAGCTAAGGCAATCTGGCCTTAGTTCTTACTGTAGAACTCGTATCTCCTTTCTAGACTGATTCAAGAAAAGAAGGAAGCAAGTACTGTGTACCACATTCTGTGCTTCTTGTCTCCTCTAATCCTCTAAACCTGGAGCGGTTTTACAGAGGAGGAAACAGAGGCATAGGGTAGTTCACTGACTTGTTCGAGGTCACCTGGTGGTAAGTGGTGGACTCTGGAATGAGAACCAGGTTTACCTGACTCTCAACCTATCCTGTTTCTCATTTGGGGCAATTCCTTCTGGACGTTGTTTCTTCTTCCTAGCCCCCTGCTACTGCTTATATGAGGGCGACCAGGCTTTCTGGCTTTAGACCGGGTAGGGGATGCTGAAATCTCCCCCTTCTCAGCAAAGGAAACCCAGTTAATCTCTGATCTTAAAAATACCTTATGTCACTGCATAAGTTAGGCTGGAGGACCTTTGACACAGGTTGGATTCTCTGAGATGCAGACACAGAGCTAACACCTGTGAAAACAGGTAGGAAGCAGCACTGGGCAGGGGTAGTATCAGGCCACAGGGCAGATCCACAGAGGCTCTACCA
The DNA here is from genome assembly GCF_000001405.40 of Homo sapiens. Lineage (NCBI taxonomy): Eukaryota > Metazoa > Chordata > Mammalia > Primates > Hominidae > Homo > Homo sapiens. The sequence continues at coordinate 211,067,474 of NC_000001.11, read as the reverse complement.
GCCTGACAGGAAGGCCACCAGCAAAGATTGCCAGCTAGATAAGTCCCATATAGGGCAAAAATGACCAGGCCCTTAGCCACCTTCTTGCTTTGTCGTGGGTGGGTGCTCACTGGAAGCTCAGCTTTCTGTCCCTTAGGAACCAGCAGCTGGAGGCTGTCAGCTAATTGCAGTCCCTGAAGCTGGGCAGAGAATCCTTCTTAAAAGGGGATCTGAGGGATGCACTTCTGAGATTTTTGCTGCTGTAACTCCTGGTGCCCTTATAAGGAGGAAAGTCTCAGTTTGTAGGAGAGAGCAGCAGTCCCGCTCAGCAGGATTTGCTGTGTGGCTTCCATGCGGGAGTGACTCTGCTGGGTTTGGTCTGCCTGGGATCACTCCATGCTGCCAGCCTGGCCTCTCTCTCCATGGGATTACTGCGGGGAAGATGTGGAAGGGACACCATCTTTCCCCATCACATCATCTCTGAAACCTTCCCCGTGAGGAAGCCAGGTCAAGATGTAATCTGAGATATGCAATTGTGATAGCTGGAGCGTAGGCACGACCATGTAGGCATGTCCTGGGGGGTGGGTATTCCAGCTCAAAGCTCATGATACCATCTCATTATAAGTAGAATTAGATGGTACATCTGGTAAATGCCATATGTATGTTCTGCAGTTTTCCCCTCAGTTACAGGGATAGTGTGCTGAAACAGCATTAAAGGTTACAGTCTATTTGGCAACTTATTTTACCTGTGTGATGTCAGGCAAGTCATTTCCTAAAAGCTTCTATTTCCTCCTCTTTCTTCTCTTGAAATAGCAATAGTAATTTGAAATGAGGATAATATGTACTCATAGATTTGTGAAGAGTGACAGAGATTCTTAATATGAACCCTATGGCATATACAGGTTGAGCATCCCTAATGTGAAAATCCAAAACTTTTTGAACACTGGAATGAGTTAGTGACACTTTTGCTTTCTGATGGTTCAGTGTACACAAACTGTTTCATGCACAATATTATTAAAAATATTGATGATATTACCTTTAGGCTATGTATATAAAGTATACATGAAACAAAAATGAATTTTTTGTTTAGACTTGGGTTCCATTCCCAAGATATTACATGCAAATATTCCAAAATCCAAAAACATCCAGAATTTTTGGTCCCGAGCATTTTGGAAAAAGGATACTCAATTTGCAATAAATCTTCAACAAGTATTAGTTTAATATTAGATTTTGACGTTTGGCTCTTTATATCACTTTCTAGAAGCTTTCTCAATTTTCAGAAATCAGGTTTTAAAAATCAGACTTTAAAACTAAAGACGTATATAAAGTAAAACATGAAATACCCATCGTTTCTTGCAAGTAACCATTTTTTAAAGTTTATGTGTTTCGTTATAAGCATTTGTGTACTTTTTCCACATTAAAAAAAAATTTTTTTTTAAGACAAGAGCTCACTCTGCTGCCCAGGCTAGAGCTCAGTGGTGTGGTCATGACTCACTGGAGCCTCGACCTCCCAGGCTCAAGAGATCCTCTCACCTCAGCCTCCCAAGTAGGTGGGGACTACAGGTACATGCCACCATGCCTAATTTTTCCATTTTTTTGTAGAGATGGGGGTCTCACTGTGTTGTCCAGGCTGGTCTCAAACTCCTGGGCTCAAGCGGTCTTCCTACCTCAGCCTCCTAAAGTTCTGGGAATACAGGTGTGAGCCACTGTACCTGGCCTTAAAAACTTTTTTAATTGATCAAAATTATATATATTTATTATGTATAACATGTTGTCTTGAAATATATATACATTGTAGAATGGCTAAATCAAACTAACATATGTGTCACCTCACATACTTATATTTTTGTGTGTGGGGAGAACATTTAAAATCTACTCTCAGCAATTTTTAAGGATACAATACTTTGTTATTAACTATAGTCATCATGTTATACAATAGATCTCTTGCACTTATTCTTCCTATCTAAATGAAATTTTGTATCCTTTGACCAACATCATCCCCAACCTTCCCTCTTTCTCCCAGGCCCTGGTAACCACCAGTCTACTCTCTACTTCTATTCAACTTTTTTTAGGTTCCACATACAAGCGAGATCATGCAATATTTGTCTTTCTGGGCTTGACTTATTTCACTTAACACAATGTCCTCCAGTTCCATTTATGTTGTTGCAAATGACAGGATTTCATTCTTTTTTATGGCTGAATATTCCGTTGTAGTATATGTGCCACATTTTGTTTATCTGTTCATCTGTTGTTGGACACCTAGGTTGATTCCATATCTTGGTTATTGTGAATAATGTTGCAATAGACACAGGAGTATAGATATTTCTTTGACATATTGATTTCATTTCCTTTGACGATATACCCTGTAGAGAGATTGGTGAATCATATGGTCATTCTATTTTAAATATTTTGAGGAACCTCTGTACTGTTTTTTCATAAGGGCTGTAGTAATTTACACTCCCACCAACAGTGTGCAAAGGCTTCATTTTCTCCACGTCTTCTCCAATGCTTATCTTTAATCTTTTTGATAATAGTCATTTTAACAGATGTGAGGTGGTATCTCATCGTGATTTAAATTTGCATTTCTCTGATGATTGGTGATTTTGAGCATTTTTTCATGTACCTGTTGTCCATTTGTATGTCTTCTTTTGAGAAATGTTTATTCAGATCCTTTGCCTTTTTAAAAATTAGGTTTTTTGTTGTCTTACTATTCAGTTTTGAGTGCCTTATTTATTTTGGATATTAACTCCTTATCAGATTTATGATTTGCAAATATGATCTTCCATTCTGTAGGTTGTCGCTTCACTTTGCTGATTGTTTCCTTGACTATGCAGAAGGCTTTTAGCTTGATATAATTGTATATACTTATACATTTAAAAAAAAAAGTGGTCATACTGTATTATTTTAAAATTCGCTTGATTTTTATGTTTTTTTTGAGATGGAGTCTTGCTTTGTTGCCCAGGCTGGAGTGCAGTGGCGCAATCTTGGCTCACTGCAAGCTCCGCCTCCCAGGTTCACACCATTCTCCTGCCTCAGCCTCCCAAGTAGCTGGGATTACAGCTGCCCACCACCACGCCGGGCAATTTTTTTGTATTTTTTAGTAGAGATGGGGTTTCACCGTATTAGCCAGGCTGGTCTCGATCTCCTGACCTCGTGATCCACCCGCCTTGGCCTCCCAAAGTGTTGGGATTGCAGGCGTGAGCCACCGTGCCCGGCCAATTCACTTGATTTTTTTAACCCACTCATCAATATAATAGGTATATTTTCCTAAGAGCATTTGTCTCCTTCATTCTTTTTAATGGTTGCATTATATTCCATTGCATTACTATATCCAAACCTATTCAGCTATCCCCTGTTGATAGATATTTGGATTGTTACCAGTCTTTGGTAATTACAGATAATGCTTCAGTGAACTTCCTTGTATGCATATTTTTAGTTTTAATTCAGAAACTTTTCCTTCAGAGTAGTATAGAGTAATTTAACAAATATCCACTTAAAACTGTTTTATTTTTAATTATTATGGGTACATAATAGATTTACATATTTATGGGATACATGTGATATTTTGATACAAGTATACAATGTGTAATGATCAGATAAGGGTAATTGGGGTATCCATCACCTCAAGCGTTTATCATTTCTTTGTGTTAAAAAATTCTATTTTTCAGTTATTTTGAAATATATAGTGGATCTATTCTTCCTATCTAACTGTAATTTTTTTACCCATTAACCATCTCTCTTTTTTTTTTTCTCCCGAGATGGAGTCTTGGTCTGTCACCCAGGCTGGAGCACAGTGGCGTGATCTTGGCTCAGTGCAACCTCTGCCTCCCAGGTTCAAGGGATTCTCCTGCCTCAGCCTCCTGAGTAGCCAGAACTACAGGCATGCGCTGCTACACCGGGCTAATTTTTGTATTTTTAGTAGAGAAGGGTTTTCATTATGTTAGCCAGGGTGGTCTCGAACTCCCGACTTCAAGTGATCTGCTCACCTTGGCCTCTCAAAGTGCTAGGATTACAGGTGTGAGCCACTGCACCGGGCCGAACCATCTCTTCTTTATCGCCCCCTTTCCTCTCTATCTCTCCCTCCACTACCATCTCCTCTTTAGCCATTATATACCCCCACC